>NC_000010.11:12434242-12585757 GCF_000001405.40 Homo sapiens
CTGGGTACAGGATGATAGCATAGAGTGTTTGGGGTTTGGAGTCAGACACACCCCTGACTTGTGACCCCAGGTAAGCCATTTGGCCTTTCCAAATCTCCTCTGTAAACGAGTGCCCTTCAGCGCTTGAGATTTCCTGATTCTGTGTACAAGGGGTCTGGCGCTGAGCCTTGATCATGGATGCCCATGAGATGCCCACTACCCTAGTGACCAGGAACGGGGCTGGATCTAGGCAGAATTGTGAGATTGGCTTGGCTCCAGGCTCATAGAGCCCAGCCGTTGTTTGTGCAAGCTGTGAGCTCTCTCATTACTGGCCTAGAATTAGCTGGTGGCTTTAGGGATAATGACATCCAGCAAGTGACTGCTTAAAGATTCCAAGGATTTAAGGACCTAAATTAGCAAATCTCTTTCCCTAATTGCAAAGTGAAAAACGTCCTTGTGCTGTTTTCAAATCTGTTAAATAATACTCTGAACGGTGTGTAAATACACATTTGATGTTCACCGGGTAATGCTTCCCAATGCTGAGTGGTAGCCCGGTCACCTTGATCGCCTTCAGTCTGTGCTGGGTGTTCTGAGACTTGAAGGATGTGGGAATCATCCGTCTAGAAAAGGCTGGCCCTTGGGCATGACCCTGACCTCCCTGCAGGAGAGTTATCTTTGAGAAAGCAGCCCAGGAGGAATCAGGAGGGGAGGGAAGGCTGGGCGCAGTGGCTCACACTGGTAATCCCAGCACTTTGGGAGGCTGAGGCGGGTGGATCACCTGAGGTCAGGAGTTCGAGACCATCCTGGCCAACATGGTGAAACACTGTCCCTACTAAAAATACAAAAATTAGCTAGGTGTGGTGGTGGTGTGGGTGCCTGTAATCCCAGCTACTCCGGAGGCTGAGGCAGGAGAATGGCTTGAACTTGGGAGGCAGAGGTTACAGTGAGCTGAGATTGTGCCACTGCACTCCGGCATGGGCGAGGAGTGAAACTCTGTCTCAAAAAAAAAAAAAAAAAAAAAAAAAGAAAAGGTGATGGGGAGCAGGAGGCCAATTGCAGTCCCTGAACAAGAAGCCCCACTGACACTGATGGATCCGCCCTAGGTTTCCATATTCCAAGCCTAACTCCAGGTTCTCTGCTGCTTCCGTGGTTTTCTTACCTCACCTGCTCAGCACCTCATTTCCATCAATTGCACTTCCCTGCTTGTTTTGGAAGGGCCTCCTGTAGATGCTCACCTTTGTGCAACAGGCTGGAGTTCCTGTTACCTCAAGGTAATACCGGCGGGCATCCTGTGACCTGCTCGTCCCCTCCACTCCCAAGCAGCCTGTCTGTTGGCAGCTCTGAGTCAGAAGGTGAGACGTGCTCTGTGCCCAGCAGGTTGGAGGATGGCTTAGTGGTCATCTCCAGGCTTTTCCACTGCTTTCCACTCTCCTACCCTTTAATACCTGGCAGGATTCCAACAAGACCTCTTTTGTTTGCATTTTAACAGATGAGGGATGTAGGTCGCCTGTGGCTGGAGGTATTTTCAGAGGTGACAGGGAATGCAGTTTTAGAACTCAGCGGTGAGCTCTTTGAATGCTGGTCCAAACCCTTCTCATTGTCTTGTATTCGTGCTGCCTCCTGGGCACCATAAGTCAGTGCTAAATGCATGAGTGGGTCCTTCCTTGCATGTTCCTTTACAGAGTAGGTTAAGAAGGGATCAGATGCTAGAGCTTGCTGAGGCTCCACCCTTGTCTGTAGATGAGCAGAATGGGGTGGTGGGGACAGTCGGGAATGAGTCTTAGGCTGTCCAGCTCTGAGCTGTGATTGCATGCAGGTGAACAGCCTGAGAGGACTGTACCTTTGTGCCACACAGCTCGGGAAGGAAGGCTTGCTTCTAGGGGTGGGAGACTGAGTGCCAATGGCTTTCCGGGCCCCGGCTTCATCTGTGACTCAAGCCTGTCCTTGGCCTGAAAGCCACTCTGGTTCCTTGGTCTTCCTCTTCCACGTACAGGCTTCACATGTGTGCCCAGGGGTGGGTTCTAGTTCCCTGGGCCAGCCTGGGCATCCTGTCGATAGAGTCTAGAGTCTGCTGTGGACCTAAGGGTTTGTGGAGTGCCTCCTCTTCACATTCACTGGAAGCCACATGCCCCCTCTCAGGGACATCCCTCAGCCTCGCTGGATGAAGGCTTGTCCAAGGAGAATGAAGAGCAGTGACCGTCGAAGGAAATCTAGGAAGCTGGTCGGAGGCATTATTCTGGATTTTATTGAGGCTTGCTGACTTTGTTTTTTGAAAGAAAGGACAACTTTTGACTTCTGTGGGGTTTATGTTCACTGGTGGCGAGGAGGTGATGGTAAAGTCTTTGGGGGCAGAGGTTCCCCTACCTGGTGGGAAGCCTGACATTCTAATCTCATAAGCTCGGATGCTGTAGTTAGCCCATCTCAGCCCTCATGGAGGAAGCTGTCTCGGCAGCAAAGCCCCATGGGGGCATCTGTGTGGGCATGCTGGCATGAGGACTTGATACAGGATCCCTGAGACCAACGGGTGATCTCAGTGTGACAGGATCTATGGTATTTTTAGAGCTTAGGTGATCAGTCACAATACACGTATTAAGTGCCCATGCGTTGGTCCCCAAGACCACCCCCAGGTTTGATGATTCGCTCCACGGACTCACAGTTCTCAGCCTATGGTCATAGTCATGGCTAAGATTTATCACAGCGAAAGGACTTCGAGCAAAATCAGCACAGGGGAGAGGCACCAGGGGCAGGGCGCAGATCAGGTGGGCACAAATTTCCCAGTGTCCTCTTCCTGGGGGGTGGGCACACAGGGCAAGCTTAGTTCAATCAGCAAGGAGTGGTGGTGACGTGTGAAATGGCATCTACTAGGGAAGCTTGCTAGACTCAGCAGCCAGATTTTTTTTTCTTAAACAGACCGACTATCTATCTATCTGTCTATCTATCATCTATCTGTCCATCTGTCTGTCTGTCTGTCTGTCTGTCTATGTAATCTATCTAGAGTCTCGCTTTGTCACCCAGGCTGGAGTGCAGTGGCACGATCTCGGCTTACTGCAACCTCCGCCTCCTGGGTTCAAGAGATTTTCCTACCTCAGTTTCCCAAGTAGCTGGGATTACCGGCGTCTGCTACCACGCCTGGCTAATTTTTTGTATTTTCTTAGTGGAGACGGGGTTTCACCATGTTGACCAGGCTGGTCTCAAACTCTCATCCTTAGGTGATCCACCCGCCTTGACCTCCCAAAGTGCTGGGATTACAGGCGTGAGCTACCGCGCCCAGCCCAGACTTTAGTTTTTAAAGCATTTTTAGGTTCATAGCAAAACCAAATGGAAGATACGGAGATTTCCTATATACTCGCTGCCCTACACACATGCACAGGCTCTCCTACTATCAACATCCCCCAGCAGAGCGGGGCATTTTGTTACAGCTGATGAACCCACAATGACACGTCACCATCACCCTGAGTCCATAGTTTACATTAGGGCTCACTCTTGGTGTTGCATATTCTATGGATTTGGACAAATAGCTAATGACATGGATCCACCATGATCGTATCATACAGAGTAGTTTCACTGTCCTAAAAATTCTCCCTCTTCTGCATATTTTCCCCTCCCTGTCTCCAACCCCTGGCAATCACTGACTATTTTCCTGCCTCTGTATTTTGCCTTTTCTAGAGTGTCATGTACTTGGAATCCTGCAGTATATATTCACATCAGCTTCTTGTTAGGGTTCTTACTGAGAGCTGGTCACATAGGCACCTGCTGCCTAGCACAGACCCAAATTCCAGAATCTCAGAAGGAAAGCAGATGTTCAGCAAAAACCACTTTGCTTGCATAAACTGTTTAGGTGCAGTGAATTGCTCTTTAGTTAGGATGGTGGGAACCCTCCTGGAATCCAGGTTCTCAGGTGCCAGCCAAGGGCCAACCTTGTGAGGGGCCTTTTGAAGCACGTGCTCTTTTCTGCACACCTCATGATGGACCATGCTTGGCAAAGTGCAATTCAGGTGTCTGAAGTCGTGGGTCCTTCGCCTTGAGCTTGGGACCTTTTCCTTTTGTTTTTGGCTGCTGCATGGCTGACTTCCTTGGAGAAGGACCACATGTTAAGCTGCCCTTGGTGTCTTTTTTCCATCTCTGAGACTTTGCTTCCCCTGTCGTGATGGAATTATACATGTGGCTATTGTCCCTGCTGAATTGGGAAGATGAAAAAGGTATAATCCCCCATGACATTCATTCAGTTTCTTTCTTAAGAAGATTCTAAGAAAACCCTGTTTTTGAAGCACTGGGTGTTCCATCAGTTGAAATTCCTGGACATATCTTTCTTTAAAAAAATTTTTTTGAGGTCACATTCTTGTCTTTACTGGGGCCATTTTTACATGTTGTTTCACTGGTTTGGGAATGAAAGATTTTAATGAAGTTTGCAACGACTGCTGACCTCTTACCCAGGAGTGGTGGCTGCACATTTTTGCTGTTGCACTAGGAATGACTTGAGACTTAGAATTCTCACCATGACTTTTGAAGGTTGAGGCATTGCAGTAGAGATGCAATAAATTATTTCTCCTTAGAGGAAACCTTTGCTTTTCTTCCCTGCCTTGCTCCATTCTACCACAGAGTTAATGGTCTTGATTTTAGTGAAATAACAATAACAGCAAACCTGCCTTTGGACGTTAAATACAAACTGCATCCTTGGACAGCACCGTGTTACTTTAATTTTTTAAGAAAGACTTAATATTTCTAATTGATTTTTTTGCTTTCTATGGAATTTTCCCCAAACCTCAGCTTTCTGGTGCAGGCTCTTTCCTGTCTCTTCCTCTCCTGTTTATTAAAATAGAGTCATTTGCCCGTCACGTGTGGGAGACTGTCGCCAGGGTAGGACAGACATCAGGCACTATCGTCTGTGTCTACCAGGGCCTATTATCCCAAGTTCCATTGCGCAGGCTGTCTGAGGACTTTGCCTTGTGTACCACAGACTAACATTATTTTTCTTTTTCATAACTCATATTCGAAGTCATTCTTGACAGGTGCTTTCTGTGGCTGAAAAGGCTGCATACGTCTCAGAGCCCTGAGCAGTTGTTTGTTATGGTTTAATATTTATCGAAAACTCCCATCTGTGGGGGCATTTATTGACTGGAGGCCAGACAGGGAGAGCCACGTGTTTTTCAAAATTACTCTGTGCTCGTGTATATGTCCCTTTATTTTTTTCAGGGAGCATTATTGCTGTTAAATGGGCATGACTGAAAGGATATGCATGTTATTGTTTGCCTGCGTTTTAGGGCTTGGCTGTGATAACAGCTGTGGGATTTGCTCTCACCAGTCCTCCTCCCTGCTGTAGGTAGTGTTGTCAATGTGCACATCGGTGAAGGGTCCCGGTTGTAGAGCCACACTGCTGAGTGCTTTGCAGTTGAATTCACTGTCCCGGGAATCCTGAGAGAGGGATCGAGGACTTACTTGTTTGTTCTGCTGTCTTTGATATAAGACGAATCTGAGGAGATTTTGTTTTTCTAAATAAAATGGGAAAGACCTTAGTGGCCTAGAGTTTTCATATTAGTCCGTTTTCACGCTGCTGATGAAGACATACCCGAGACTGGGTAATTTATAGAGAAAAAGAGGTTTAATGGACTCACAGTTCCATGTGGCTGGGGAGGCCTCACAATCATGGTGGAAGGCAAAAGGCACATCTTACATGGCGGCAGGCAAGAGAGAGAATGAGAACCAGGTGAAAACAGAAACCCCTTATCAAACCATCAGATCTCGTGAGAGACCTACTCACTACCACGAGAACAGTATGGGGGAAACCACCCCGTGATTCAGTGAACTCCCACTGGGTCCCTCCCATAACATGTGGGAATTATGGGAACTGTAATTCAAGGTGAGATTTGGGTGGGGACACAGCCAAACCATATCACTTGTCTTACTTTCTAGCAGCAGATTGTCTAAGTCAGAGAAAGGCAGATGTGGGTTTGGCCTGGGATTCATTTCCTTGAAACTCTTCATAAAAGTCTTACTTGCATTATGTTGTAATTATGAAACAGTAGGTCTTTTTCCTGCCATTCCAACTATACGTTAGTCTTTTTGGATTTTTTTTTTTTTTTTGAGACGGAGTCTCCTTCTGTCACCCAGGCTGGAATGCAGTGGCATGATCTTGGCTCACTACAGCCTCCGCCTTCCGGAGGCAGGAGGCAATTCTTCTGCCTCAGCCTCCTGAGTAGCTGGGACTACAGGTGGACGCCACCACACCTGGCTAATTTTTGTACTTTTAGTAGAGATGGGGTTTCGCCATGTTGGCCAGGCTGGTCTTGAACTCCTGACCTCAGGTGATCCGCCCACCTCGGCCTCCCAAAGTGCTGGGATTACAGGTGTGAGCCACCATGCCCAGCCAGATACCTGTTTTTTTGTTTAATTTGGTGTGACGGAAGTTGAACTCAGTGGCACACTTTAAATGAATGCAGTTTATTGTGGATAAATTATACCTCAATAAAGTATATGAGATACGGTGTATGCCAGGTGCAGTGCTCAGGCCTTGGGCAACACACAGGTGATAAAACATGGTTCCTGTCCTGTAGGCTTCATAATCAAAAATGATCTGTATATATGATGGGATGCAGGAAATGCTACCTGAAAATACAGCATCTTGGCATACTGAATATTTCAGGCTGAAGGAAATGGAGGAAACTGCAGAAGCAGGGAGGTCACTCTCTAACCTTCTCTAACCCTTTTCCCCTAAAGTGGGCCAAAAAGAATTCTCTGGCTTGCCTGAAAGTCGGTCATAAGACCCTCATTCCAGTGGGGTTGTGCCCTATTCCCAGAGGCCAGGAAGAATTTGAAAAAGCAGCCCTTGCTAAGTTTCTCCTTGTTTATTACCATTAAATGATACCCTTTCGTCCTCCAATCATACGTCAGCATGACTGTCCATAAAAATAGACAGTTTTTCCTGGGTTGTTTGGACTTCATTTCTGAAGGCTCTCATGTCACATATGACTTACATTAATTTTTGTTTTCTTTCGGAGACAGAGTCTCACAATCTGTCACCGGGGCTGGAGTGCAGTGGTGCGACCTCGGCTCACTGCAGCCTCCATCTGCTGGGCTGAAGTGATCCTTCTGCCTCAGCCTCGCAGGTAGCTGGGACTACAGGCATATGCGACAGGCCTGGCTAGTTTTTGTATTTTTTTTAGAGATGGGTTTTCACCATCTTGCCCAGGCTGGTCTTGAACTCCTGGGTTCAAGTGATCCACCCACTTTGGCCTTTCAAAGTACTGGGATTATAGGTATGAGCCACTGTGCTTGGCCTTTAAATAAATTTTTAATGTGTTCCTTTTGTTAAAAAAAAAAAAAAGTCCTCACACCTGTAATCCCAGCACTTTGGGAGGCTGAGGCGGGTGGATCACTGGAGGCCAGGAGTTCGAGACCAGCCTGGCCAACACGGTGAAACCCTGCCTCTACTTAAAAAAAAAATTTTCTGGGTGTGGTGACACATGCCTGTAATCCCAGCTACTCGGGAGGCCAAGGAACAAGAATCGCTTCAACCCAGGAGTGAAGCCGAGATTGTGCCACTGCACTCCAGCCTGGGCAACAGAATGAGACTCTGTCTCAAAAGAAAAAGTAAAAAGTCAAACTCTTCCCCGCACCCACAAGGCTAAACTTACCTTTTCTTTTTATATTCTATTCCATACTCAAAGATGACAACTAAAATCCCCAGATAAACTGAGAAGCGCTTGATTATAGTCAGTTTCAGTCAAATCTCTAGGACACAGAATGGATTGGAAGTTGTATAAAATAAATTTTCTTGCACAATAATGTGGGGAAAAAAGGAAATGTGTATTTTTCAAGTTATAAAAGACAATCTCTTTGATGGTATAAAATGCAGCAGTAATAATTCTTCAAGTCTTATTAAAGAATTCAAATGGACCAAAACTCAGTAAAATGTTAACTCTAGGCTCAAGGACCTATGAAGGTAGTCTTTCTTAATAACTTGTTTTTCTTAAAACTTTGAGGCCGGGCGCGGTGGCTCATGCCTGTAATCCCAGCACTTTGGGAGGTCAAGGCAGGCGGATCACGAGTTCAGGAGATGGAGACCATCCTGGCTAACATGGTGAAACCTCGTCTCTACTAAAAATACAAAAAATTAGCCAGATGTGGTGGCAGGTGCCTGTAGTCCCACCTACTCAGGAGGCTGAGGCAGGAGAATGGCGTGAACCCGGGAGGCAGAGCTTGCTCTGAGCTGAGATTGCGCCACTGCACTCCAGCCTGGGTGACAGAGAGAGGCTGTGTCTCAAAAACAAGCAAACAAAAAAACTTTGATTTCTCTTAGACGTTATATGGAAATGGAATTTTATTCTGTGAATGTTTTATTTCAGATAGACTTGCAAAGCCCTTCTATACATAGACACTGTTTTTAGTTTTTTTGTCACCCCAAACCTCAAAAATGCATCTCAGCTTGAAAGACTTTCTAGACTTTTCCTGAGTCCAAAGTCATCCTGCTGATATCATGGTTTAGGTTCTGAAAGGTTTTATATCGAGTGTTTTTTTCTTCTTTCCTAAGAAGGAAAGGATCAGAAAGGAACTTGTAACCATTGTTGAGCATTTTAGGAAAAGTGAAAACCGACTTCATCCGTTTCATTTGTAAGGAGAAGCATGTTAGATGTGAGTATATTTGGAAACGTCCAAAATTTAACCATGACAAGAGACAGCAGTGTGATGGCAAATTTCAGGCCAAAGTCTGGAATTTCTTTGCTTTCTTCCCATTTTATCTTGTCTTCTCATTTCTTTTACTTTTCTACTTCTCTTCTCTCACTATTTCTTTGCTTTCTAACGTTTCCCATCAATTTTGAGCCATTTTCTTTATTCCATCTACATATGAACTCACAGCAGTAGCAAAAATACTGAGCTCTCAGAAATATATTTATCCATGTATCTAAGGACTCTGGAAAACAGATTCAAAGATGTGAAGCCTCAGTAGTGAAACTGACTCGAGGAGGAAAGACGTTTATGTGCGGCAGATCTTCTCGGGGTTTGCCTATTTGTAAAATGTATTCAGTATTCATGGAACAGATATGATGGGTGCTCACTCTACACCAGGTACCATGGTCAAACAGAGAGGGCTAACCTATGTTGCCTCCATTCTGAGAATCTCTGCGGTGACACAGGAGGGGACAGAAACAAGGATAGAAGCTTGTAGTTGCAATATAGTGTCGTGATGACCTTCACGAAGGCACGAACCATGTGTTGTGCTCGTATAGTCGTGTTACAGGAAAGGGGTCCTGATCCAGACCCCAAGAGAGGGTTCTTGGATCTCACACAAGAAAGAATTCAGGGTGAGTTTATAGAGTAAAGTGAAAGCAAGTTTCTTCGGAAGGTAAAGGAATAAAAGAATGGCTATTCCATAGAGCAGCCCTGAGGACTGCTGGTTTCCTATTTTATTTTATTTTTTTTTTTATTTTTGAGACGGAGTCTCGTTCTTTTGCCCAGGCTGGAGTAAAGTGGAGTGATCTTGGCTCACTACAGCCTCCGCTCCCCGGGTTCAAGCGATTCTCCTGCCTCAGCCTCCTGAGTAGCTGGGATTATAGGCACCTACCACCATGCCCGGCTAATTTTTGTATTTTCAGTAGAGACGGAGTTTCACCATGTTGGCCAGGATGGTCTCGAACTTTTGACCTCAAGTGATCCAGCCACTTTGGCCTCCCAGAGTTCTGGGATTATAGGCATGAGCCACTGTGCCCAGCCTGGTTTCCCATTTTTATGGTTCTTTCTGGATGATATGCTAAACAAGGGACAGATTATTCATGCCCCCCCTTTTTAGACCATATAGGGTAACTTCCTGTCGTTACCATGGCATTTGTAATCTGTCATGGCGCTGGCGGGAGTGTAGCAGTGAGGACAACCAGAGGTCACTGTCATCGCCATCTTGGTTTTGGTGGGTTTTGGCCAGCCGGCTTCTTTACTGCAACCTGGTTTATCAGCAAGGTCTTTATGACCTGTGTTTTGTGCCAATCTCCTATCTTATTCTGTGACTTGGAATGCCTTAACCATCTGGGAATGCAGCCCAGTAGGTCTCAGCCTTATTTTACCCAGCTCCTATTCAAGATGGAGTTGCTCTGGTTCAAACGCCTCTGACAGTCAGGCATAAGAACCATGATGGAAACCTGCGTTTCCTTGGCCTCTGAGGCTTTGAGGAGGTGTATATGCTGATGTCGATGAAAAGAGTCAAACTCTGTAAAATATTTAAGGAGGTTTCTTCTGAGCCAAATATCAATGACCAAGGCCTATGATACAGCCCCAGGACGTCCTGTGAACATGTGCCCAAGGTGGTTGGGGTGCAGCTTGGTTTTATACATTTTAGAGGGACAGAAGTTAGAGGCAGACATCAGTCAATATCGTATTTAAGGTGTACATTGGTTTGGTCTAGAAAGCCAGAACAATTTGAAGCAGGGATTTCCAAAATCTCTGAATGCAAGTGCATTCAAAGAAAGGGATTTTGGAATAGATTTTGAATACAGGTGCATTCAAAGGTTTTCTGATTAGCAATTGGTTGAAAGAGTTAAGTTATTATCTAAAGATGTGGAATCCATAGAAAGTAATGTCTGGGTTGAGATAAGGGGTTGTGTAGACCAAGGTTTTTATTATGCAGATGAAGCCTCCAGGTAACAGGCTTCAGAGAGATTAGACAGTAAAGGTGCCAGACTCTTAGTTAAATCTCTCTTGGAACAGGAAAAGATGTGGAAAGGGGATGGGATTCGCTACAGAATGTAGATTTTCCCCACAAGAGACAGCTTTGCAGGGTCATTTCAAAATATGTCAAAGAAATGTGTGTTGGGGTAAACTACTTTGATTTCTTTCAGGGCCTGCTATCTGTCACATGATGCTATACTAGAGACAGGCTGGAATTTGGTATCTTATTGCTACAAAGCATCTGTTTTCTCAGTCTTAAGATTTCTGTTTGAATGTTAATGCATGCCGGCCAGTCGTGCCCGAATTCCAAAGGGAGGAGGGTAGAATGAGGTGTGTCCGATCCTCCCTTCCCATCATGCCCTGCACTAGTCTTTCAGGTTAACTTTGGAATCCCCTTGGCCAAGAGGAAGGTCCTCCATTCAGTCAGTTGAGGGGGTTTAGAATTTCATTTTTGGTTTACACCAATTAGAGTTCATGTGAGAGTTCTGAAATGAAACCTCACCTTGGAGAATGAGTAGAATTTAGTCAGACTTAGCTTTGGTTCTGCCATTTTGTTTTGGCTTCCTTTCACATGAAGACAGGCCATTGTCCTGTTTGCTCTTGTTCCTTGGCTGGTTTCAATGTTAGCATTGCCCTTACAGACTGGGCAGAAGAGTAGACAGACTTTTCTTTGGGTATTCAAAATATCACCATCAAGTACTGTTAACGTGCTTTTTTAGACTGGAAACTTTCCCAAGGCCGTTTTCCCCACCCACTGACTTGCCTTTAGCCATGATCATCATTGCTTTTGTCCTGTCTGTAAGAATAAAAAGAAAAAGTCCTTTTAATGTAAAAGTCATAAACCATGTCCTGACAACTGCAGAGAATTATATTGCTCATTTGTTTTTATTGTTAGTATAACTTTTAATTGTCTTCCTTATCTTTGTGCCTGACTGTTGTTTGCTGGCTGAAGTTAACTATGTTTTGAAAGTCAGTTCAGAGGTGAATGAATGGTGAGGTCATCATAGCAGATATAGACATGTTGGCGTTTTTTTTCTGAATGTCAAATGCTAATTTTAGCCATAACAAATTTTGAAAAAGAATGAAAAGTTCCCAGCGAGGGAAATAAAGGTATTCTGTGTGGGAGGCACCTGTTATTTGCAGATAGTACTGTTCATTTCTTTTGCAGATATGAAATACAGTCTCTTTGCCTCAATTATTACTTCATCCTTCAGCCTGCTAGTGTTACAGAAAAGGGGTCATGATCCAGGCCCCAAGAGATGGTTCTTGGGTCTCGTGCAAGAGAGAATTCAGGGCAAGTCCACAGAGTAAAGTGCAAGCAAGTTTATTAAGAAAGTAAAGGAATCAAGAATGGCTAATCCATAGACAGAGCAGCCCCGAGGGCTGCTGGTTTCCCACTTTTATGGTTATTTCTTGATGATATGCTAAACAAGGGGTGAATTATTCATGCCTCCCCTTTTTAGACCATGTAGGGTAACTTCCTGATGTGGCCTTGGCATTTGTAAACTGTCATGGTGCTGACAGGAGTGTAGCAGCGAGGACAACAAGAGGTCACTCTCGTCGCCATCTTGGTTTTGGTGGGATTTGGCCGCTTCTTTACCGCAGCCTGTTTTATCAACAAGGTCTTTATGACCTGTATCTTGTGCCGACCTCCTGTCTCATCCTGTGACTTAGCATGCCTTAACTGCCTGGGAATGCAGCCCAGTAGGTCTCAGCCTCATTTTACCCAGTCCCTACTCAAGATGGAGTTGATCTGGTTCCAGTGCCTCTGACACTAGTATTTGAGGAAGCTCAGATGTTTCTAAAGTCTGGATAGTAGCCATGATATAAATCCTTTCTCTTTTTGCAGTTGGAGACTTTACAGCAAGCTCTATGCCGGTGATTCCCAAGCCCTTTGGAGTTAGAACTCTTTGTCCTTGTTGTTCTGGTTTGAGTCTACCCTTCCTTCCCTGCTGTCAGATACTGTGTGCTGTATCTTAGTTGGATGTTGACTTCCTTTGAGAATTCTTTGATCTTTTCTGAGAATTACATGAGATACCTTAAATTGGGCTAAATGTAGGGAAGGGATTTTGGAATAGAACTAGGGAGTGTCCCAACTGGCAGCTTCCCCAATTCATCCTAAGACATTTTGCCATGTCTAGGATGGGTTGTTTAAGACAACGTCTCCTTTTCTGGGATGTTCGAAACTCAGTGTTTGGGTCTAAGTTTTTTCCACTGTGTCTCTCTCTCTCTGTCTTTTTTTACTGAGTATATTCTTCTGCAGAATGGTCTGTATCTCGTGTTAGCTTCAGAAGGCACCACTTTCAAGAGGTAATTAAATTATAAAGATTTGTTCGAAGTCATTATCAATACTGGAGAAGTTAGCAAAGGTATTGGAAGGCCAACAACAATTTATTTCCCATGTCACTCTTTCTGCAGAAACTCACCTAGAGTCCTTAAAGGGAATAACTGGTAACTTTCTGATATATCATGATGAGAGGCCTCTGCTGGCCACTGGGCAGCCTTCAGATAGTTTTTTCCTTTTTTAAAATGTTTAAATTTTTAGGGCTAGGTGTGGTGGCTCATGCCTGTAATCCCAACACTTTGGGAAGCTGAGACAGAAAGATTGCTTGAGGCCAAGAGTTTGAGAACAGCCTGGGCTACATAGCAAGACCCCGTCTCTCCAAAAAATTAAGAAATTAGCTGAGTGTAGTTGTGTGCACCTGGGGTCCCAACTACTCAAAAGAGTGAGGTGGGAGGATTGCCTGAGCCTGAGAGGTTGGGACTGAAGTAAGCCAAGATTGTGCCACAGCATTCCAGCCTTGGTGATAGAGTGAGATCCTATTTCAAAAAAAAATATTGATTTTAAGTTAATTTTGTAGTTCACTGTAGTCTTGAACTCTTGGACTCAAGTGATCCTCCTGCCTCAGCCTCCTGAGTAACGAGGACTACAGGTATGTATCACCATGCTTGGCTGATTTATTTTTTTTACTTATTTTTATTATTATTATTTTTTGAGATGGAGTTTCGCTCTTGTTGCCCAGGCTAGGGTGCAATGGCACAATCTCGGCTCACTGAAACCTCTGCCTTTGGATTCAAGTGATTGTCCTGCCTCAGCCTCCCAAGTATTTGGGATTACAGGTGTGTGCCACTACACCTGGCTAATTTTTTTCTGTTTTTAGTAGAGACAGGGTTTCACCATGTTGGTCAGGCTAGTCTCGAACTCCTGACCTTAAGTGATCCTCCTGCCTTGGCCTCCCAAAGTGTTGGGATTACAGGCATGAGCCACGACTCCTGGACTTTTTTACTTACTTTTACTTTTTGTATTTTTATTTTTACTTATTTTTATTTATTTATTTTTTTGTTTCTCTATATTGCCCAGGCTGATCTTGAACTCCTGGCCTCAAGTGATCCTCCTGCCTTGGCCTCCCAAAGTGTTGGGATTACAAGCGTGAGCCACGATGCCTGGATTTTTTACTTATTTTTACTTTTTGTATTTTTATTTTTGCTTATTTTAATTTTTATTTTTTTTTTGTTTCTCTATATTGCCCAGGCTGATCTTGAACTCCTGGCCTCAAGTGATCCTCCTGCCTCAGCCTCCCAAAGTTGCTGAGATTACAGGTATGGGCCACCATGCCTGGCCCACAGAGTTCTCTGGAGGAGAAACTGTAGAGCCGTGTGGATTCTTGCCTGGGTTTGTTTAGAGATACTACGGACTTCTTGCCTAGGTTTGTTTGGAGAAGAGTCAAGCAGTACTTGAGTGATTTGAATTTTTGTTGAGAAAAACAAAGTGAAAAACATTTTTTCGACATCAGATATGTTGTTTTAGCCTCTGTGGCAGATTTTATTTTTCTCTTTTACTTTTTGTTTTTATCCTTTTGTACTATTTTTAAAGAAAGGAATGAGAAGAAATTATCCCCGGACCATTCCTCCCGGTGAAAAACATGAAATGTGACTATCCGGAAATGGAGTGTGATCACAGGGGCACGTACGGCTGAGTCATCCAAAACGCTGACTGTCGTGTAGGGCTCCGTGGTTTTGGTGGTTTTCTTAACTTCTCTGTGCCCTGGTTACTTCATCAATGTGATGGAGATAATAATCTCATCGGATGTTGTGATTTACTGAGATCATTCTTGTAAACACTTAGAATAGTTCCTGGTACACAGCAAGCGGTTTGTGATTGTTATTGTATGATTCTATCCAGATTCTATTACGTCATGTTACTATGTTATGAAAGATTCCAGTTCCTTGGTGCACTGATGTGGTCTTTGAAACTCAGAACAAATGTTACCTGGGCCGATGTTACATGAGTATTTGGCCATTAAAATCAGATAAAGAGGCCAACCTAGCAAGTTACTCTCATTGAAGTGTGGCTTGTCTGCCATCCTCATTGGGAGCACGTAGAACCTCCCCAAGCTGAGTGGGCAGGGTCCGTGTGGCTGTGTGAAGGGCCCCGTCGTCTTGTGTAGCTGCTCCCGTGTTGAGAGTATAGCATGTTGAAAACAGCCTTGGCAGGAACCACGCTTGCTGTTAACCAGCTCGTCCACTAACCAGCTGTGTATACCCTAGGTCAGGCCAGCTGTTTAAAAAAAAAAAAAGTGAAGATATTTGCTAAGAGAGTAGATCTCAAGTGCCATCATCACACGCACACAAGGGGTGATGATGGCAGTTGATAGGTATGTTAGCTTGATCATGGTGATCATTTTATGATGTATACATATATCAAAACATCATGTTACGATGTATACATATATCAAAACATCATGTTACGATGTATACATATATCAAAACATCATGTTGTATACCTAAATATATACCATTTTTATTTGTCAGTCATACCTCAGTAAAGCTTAAAAAAAGACACATGTTGGCCGGGCGTGGTGGCCCACGCCTATAATCATTTGGGAGGCCTAGGTGGGTGGATCACTGGAGGTTAGGAATTTGAGATTAGCCTGGCCAACATGGCGAAACCCCACCTCTACTAAAAATATAGAAATTATCTGGGCATGGTGGCAGGCGCCTGTAATCCCAGCTAACTGGGAGGCTGAGGTGGGAGAATCGCTTGACTTGGGAGGCAGAGGTTGCAGTGAGCCGAGATTACACCACTGTACTCCAGCCTGGGCGACAGAGCGAGACTCCATCTCAAAAAAAATACACACGTATATAAAAAAAGTAAATTGGAGACATCTTGATGTTACACCCATACTAACAGTAGTGTCAATCTCTGTTCCTTCACCCAAGGAAGGAAAGAAGGAAGGAAGGGAGGGAGGGTGGGGAGAGAGAGAAAGAAGGAAGGAGGGAAGGAAAAAGGGAAAGAAGGAAGGAAGGAAGAAGGAAGTTTCCCTATGTAATTAAAATAGCATTATCACAACTAATACAATTAATACTAATTTCTTAATATCCAGTTTGTATTCCAGTTTCCCCAGTTACATTTGGGTTATATACTGAGTTTACAGCTCCACAGTCTCTTCGTGTGGGGAATGAGGAGGTGGAACTAACTCCATGAGCTCTCAGGTTTATATAAGCGTGAAAGTTTTATGTTTAATACCATTAGGAAGAGCCGTTGTGATTTTGTTAATTTCTTGTTCTTAAAGAAGGATCGAAGCTTTAGAGACATAAACGTGGCTCTCTAGCCAGGTGAAATGGAAATCTGGAAGTTATTTGGTTAAGAGAATAAATAGGGATGGGTTAGTGGTGTCTCCAGCTGGGCTTGGCTTGTAGATTGGGCAGCTCACACATGGACAGTGGTTTGATGACTTGTGTACTGGCCAGAGAGAAGGAGGCTGTGTCCTGGTCTGAGACCCAGCAGGTTTGAGGTCTTGTATTTTCTAGTCTCCATAAATGTTCCCAATGCCATTTCGAGTTACAGTGAGGACTTGGACAGCCCTTTGCATTTAGTTTTGTTTTGTTATTTGAGACTCTGGTGTTTTCTTCAAGGAGGCTAAATGCTGGGTCTATTGGGTTACCTGTCTAAGGAAACTCCCATTGTTCCAGAATAAAAGAAGGATGAAAAACTCATGCTTTGACTGCCTGGCGGCTATCAGGTGCTGCTGGCCCCAGAGGTTATGAGCCAACTGGCATGTCCTGCGCCTCATGCAGGCTCCCACTGTGAGAACCAGCTTTGAAGACCTCCCACCTAGACCTGCCCGCCATGTAAGAGGTGCGGTGCTGGGTGTCTGCCATGGGCCGGGGAGTGAGGAGAACCATTCTTTCCCACATGAGCTCTGAACCAATTGAGAAGTAGGGCTGAGGGGCCAGGCAGGTGGAGATCAAAATGTTAAATTCATTCCTGATAAAAGTTCCATTGGAGGACTGGGGCATGTTTTAATAAAGGGCTTCCTCACTCTCAACCTCAGAAGCAGTCCGCCTAGCCCCCTGCAGGCTCCTCCTCTGGCCCAGAGGAGAGATGTAGTCTGTGGGCTTCCCACGGGTTCCCAAGAGAAAGGAGGGAGAAGGAGCTGGGCTGGTGCCCTCCATCCCCTCCTGGCCAGCTGGGTAAGTCTGTTCTCTTGCCTTGGGAGGAGGAAGAGGTAGGAGGGCCTGGAGGAGATTCCTCTGTAGACATTGGGAACCTGCTCCATCTTCACTCTTGCCCTCTTCTTGGGACCTGGTATCCCCAGGGACCCAGTGCCCTGGCTCCATTTGAGGATTTCCACCCTGGGGCAGCTCTTTTCCTGTCTCAGCTTCACAGACTAATTTATTTAGAGGGGGCGAGAGAAATGAGATAAATTCTGATAATAGTGGCACTTAATAAATATTAATTGTCATTCATATACATGATATGCATTTCTTGAACTGGTAAATCTTTCAAAGAATTTATTTTACAATTTCTCTCAAACTCTGAATATTTGTGGAGTAAATGAATATACCAATCCTTTGTTGCATTGGGAGGCAGAGACTTGAGGATGGTTATGTGTTTGTGTGTGTGTGTGTGTGTTGGAGAGTGGGTCAGAGACGAAGTGGGACAGGGAGCTAAGGCTTCTGGAAGATTCCCTGGGGGATGTCCATGTTCTCAGTGTCCCGGGGGCTACTCTGGCCGATGGGCCTTCGACCACCGGGGTCCCAGGAACCAGAGCAACAGAGACATTGGGGATCTGAAGCAGCACATGTGCTGGGGGCCGCCTCCTTTTCCAAGTGGCCAATAGCCCCTTAATTGAGGGAGAGGAACCATCCAGGTTCAGAGGCAAAGCCCACTTGAGAGGGAAGGAGGAGAGTCTCGTGGAGCAGGCGAGTCAGGTGGGCGATGTTTGCGGATCCCTTTGCAAGCCTGTTTTCACAGTGTTTTCAGGTGTGTTCTGAGAGCAGCGTATGGAACCCGACAATGACCTTTGTTCACATTAATGGAGCAGATGATTGCATTGCATTTTTTGGGTTCTTAAAAAAATGGTAATATGTATTATTGTAAACTGAATTTACAATATTTATACAATTATTTATATTGATTTATATTGTATAAATATACAGTGTCCAGTTTTTCTCACATCTAGCCCCTTTCTTCCTTTCATTTACAAAGAAATCATAAGGAAATTTCTCAGAATGTTATGTGGACTGAATAAATATTTATACATTATAAATAATTGTATAAATATACAATATTGTATACAATACAGTACAATTATTTATAATGTATAAATATACATTTATTTGTATATGTATTTGTATGTATAAATATGCATTATGGTCCATATATCAATACACATTATAGTAATATGTATTAATGTAAGTTTGACCATTTTGACTTTTTTTTTTTGAGACCGAGTCTCACTCTGTCGCCCAGGCTGGAGTGCAGTGGTGCAGTCTTGACTCACTGCAACCTCCGCCTCCTGGGTTCAAACAATTCTCCTGCCTCAGCCTCCCGAGTAGTTGGGATTACAGGTATGCACCACTATGCCTGGCTAATTTTTTTATTTTTAGTATAGACGGGGTTTCACCATATTGGTCAGGATGGTCTTGAACTCCCGCCTTGGCCTCTCAAAGTGCTGGGATTACAGGCATGAGCCACCGCGCCTGGCCCATTTTGACTGTTTTTAAGAGTACAGTTCAGTGGCATGAAGTATATTCACATTGTTGTGCAGCCATCGCCACCATCCATCTCCAGAACTTTTTCATCTTCCCAGACAGAAACTCTGCCCTCATTCAACAGCAACTCCTCATCTTCTCTCCTCCCAGTCTACGGCCAGCCCCATTCTACTTTCTCCCTCTATGTATTGGACTACTCTAGGGGCCTTGTTGAAGTGGATTCGTCAATATTTGCCTTTTTATGACTGGCTTATTTCACTCAGTCCTCAAGACCCATCCAGTTTGAAGCATGGGTCAGACTTTTCTTCTTTTTCTTTTTTCTTTTTTTTTTTTTTGAGATGGAGTTTCACTCTGTCGCCTAGGCTGGAGTGCAGTGGTGCAGTCTTGGCTCACTGCAAGCTCCGCCTCCTGGGTTCAAGCGATTCTCCTGCCTCAGCCTCCTGAGTAGCTGGGATTACAGGCGCCTGCCACCACGCCCGGCTAATTGTTGTATTTTTAGTAGAGATGGGGTTTCACTGTGTTGGCCAGGCTGGTCTTGAACTCCTGACCTCATGATCCGCCTGCCTCGGCCTCCCAAAGTGCTAGGATTACAGGTATGAGCCACTGTGCCCGGCCAGAATTTTCTTCCTTTTTAAGGCCGAATAATATTCCATTGTATGGCTAGATCATATTTCGCTTACCCATTCATCTGTCCATGGACTGTCTGAGTAACCTTTTGGCTATTGTGAATCATGCTGCTAGGAATATTGGTGTATGACTATGTTGCATTACATTTTTAAAAGGAAACTTTCGTTGAAATATAATACAGGCATTGCATTTTTGGCAACCACAACACACTTCTGACTTACATGGACTTACCTGAACTGCTGGTTATCCAAAACCCCTAAAGTTTTAAATGTAACAACTAGGATACATTTTATCATGGAGCCTTGCCTGTTTTGTTCTGAGTTGTTAATTTTTATGCACAATCTTGTGAGATCCAGCTCATTATATCAGCCTGTCAAGATCTTTTTAGAATTCTGAGTTTAGTTTAATTTTGGGTTGTCCACAAACATGATGATCGTATCCTCTCTCTGTACAAGTCACCAATAAAAATGCTGAAGAGGAAGGGGCCAGCAGCAGAGCTCTGGGGGGGCTGTTGAAACCCTTCCCCTGGTTGGGTCTTGCTGTGCAGGTGTTTATCGGTCCAGTTTTTCTTGCTTCTAGCTCCTGTCTTCATTTCATTTATAAGGAAATTTCTTACTATATTATGTGGACAGCAGGTTGTCATTCTGTTTTTGAATTTAATTTTTTTGTTTGTTTGTTTTCGCGATGGAGTCTCGCTCTGTCACTCAGGCTGGAGTGCAGTGACGCGATTTCAGCTCACTGCAACCTCCGCCTCCTGGGTTCAAGCAATTCCCCTGCCTCAGCCTCCTGAGTAGCTGGGACTACAGGCGCGTGCCACCACGCCTGGCTAATTTTTTGTACTTTTAGTAGAGACGGGGCTTTACCGTGTTAGCCAAGATGGTCTCAATCTCCTGACCTTGTGATCCATCTGCCTCGTCCTCCCAAAGTGCTGGGATTACAGGTGTGAGCCACCACTCCCGGCCGAATTTTAATTTTTTTTTAGAGACAAGGTCTTACTTTGTCACCTGGGTTAAGAGTGCCGTGGCACAGCATAGCTCAATGCAGCCTCAAATTCCTGGGCTCAAGCGATTCTCCTGCCTCAGCCTCCCGAGTAGCTGGGACTATAGGCGTGCACTGCCATGCCTGGCAAATTTTAAAATTTTTTGTAGAGATGGAGTCTCGCTGTGTTCCCCAGGCTGGTCTTGAAATCCTGGACTCAAGTGATCCTCCTGCCTCAGCCCCTAAAAGTGCTGGGATTACAGGTGTGAGCCTCTGTGCCTGCGCTATGTTGCCACTCACCTAATAATCTGCAAACCTCTGGAGAATGGAACTAAGCCAGACTGGCTGTCCGCGCTCAGGTTTTTTAGTAGGTAAAATTTTAGGTGAATGACAGTTAGCTGTTCTCCTACATTCTCATTGCCAGGTTATAATGCAAGCAAGTTTCATACCAAATTCACATAAGATCCCTTATTTAGGAAATGTGTGAGCAGGCCGGCCGGCTGGCCGAGTACAGTCTGGGTGGTGGTTCTGTCATCAGGAGTCCCTGCTCTGTGCCTTACTGTGTGCTCTGAGTGCCACTTTGGATGAAAGCTTCCCTCGAGGCAGATTTTCCAGTATTCCAAAACCAGGGTTCTCTTACCCTAGGAGGAGCCTCAGGCAGCCAGAAATTTCCCAAACCAATGGCTGGACCTTTTTAGGAATCTCGCATAAGGATAGAGGGTCTTGCTCTGTAGCTCAGGCTGGAGTGCAGTGACATGACCAGGGCTCACTGCAGCCTTGACCTCCCGGGCTTAAGCAATCCTCCTGCCACAGTGTCCCAAGTAGCTGAGACTTCAGGTATGCACCACCACACCCAGCTAATTTTCGTATTTTTTTGTAGAGACAGGGGTTTTGCCATGTGGCCCAGGCTGGTGTCAAACTACTGGGCTCAAGCAGTTCGCCCGCCTTGGCCTTCCAAAGTGTTGGGATTACAGGCATGAGCCACTATGTCCAGCCTGGTAATCACGGTTCTGACTGTTGTCACCTTAGATTAGTTTTGCCTGCTTTTAAATTCCATATAAATGGAATTGCACTTATGTTTTATGACATTGATTCATGTTGTTGTATGTAAAAGTTGTTCGTTTTTTCCCCATTGCTCTGTAATTCCATCATATAAAGTTTAGGTTCCTTTCTGTAGTTGATGGACATTTGGTTGTTTCCAGTTTGGGACAATATGAAGCAAACAGCTGAAAACATTCTTGTCCATGTCTTTGGTGGATGGAGTATGAGTTATTGATTAGGTTAACTGACTGTTCTTAGAATTGACATTTACAGCAACTAGCCCATGGAGAATATCATGCTGTCCGTGCCAAATGATTTTAAAGTAAACTGAAGGTGTTATACAAAACCATATTAAACAAAGGAGTGAATTTAGTCTCATATGACTTGTATTTAGCCAGTTCGTGCCAGTATGAAAGCAGATCATTGCTTTGGTGCACCCCGCCCATAATAAATGTTCTAAGTCAGAAGGTCAATTTCCTGAAATCTGAGATTCTCATGTGAAAGTACATTGTTTCCTCATGCCTTCTCCAGAAGCTTGGGTGGGAAAGAACCCTTTATCGCTTCTGCAGATAGGCACCATTTTCTCATTATAGATTCTCACTGTGAAAAAGTCATGAATTACTAAAAACTCTGGGAATATAAACTAGGTTTGGGGATCCCCTGAATTGGAATGAATAAAGTTTTAAAATATTCATTTATGTTTGATTTCCATGTCATTGTGTGTCTTGTGATGAGAAAAATATTTGCTGCTGATTTAGAATTCCTGAATGCTCTTATAAAAATTTAATTCCACCCATATTAACTAGGCTTTCAAGTCTTTTTGAGAGGGGCTGTTTTCTTCCAATAGGTTGCTAGAGGGGAAACCTGTTAGCCTAAGAGAATTGTTGGATGCAAGTTTAATAGGGAAGGTGAACTCAGACCACCAGTGGGGGATGCCGCATTGATTTAAATTTTAAAAGATCCCGTGTTTTATGAAAGTAAAGAAATAGGTTAACAGTCCCCGTGACAAGAATGGAAAACATTCTCAGGACCTATACCACACATATACATTTAAAGTATCACTCAGCCTGGGCAACATGGTGAGGGCCTGTCTCTACAAAAATTTAAATCTTAGCCAGGCATGGCGGCACGTGCCTGTTGTCCCAGGTTGAGGCGGGAGGATCACTTGAGCCCAGGAGGTCAAGGCTGCAGTGAGCTATGATTGCGCCACTGCAGTCCAGCCTCGGTGACAGAGTGAGACTCTGTCTCAAAAAAAAAAAAAAAAAAAAAAATCTCTACCTTTTTATAGCACCTAACAGTACTTTTAAACAACCCTACAGGAGGGGCATCTGGTGCCATGAACTAACATTACGGATACATTTACCCTTTGACCCAGCAGTCCTGTTTCTGGGAATCTTTACTGCAGATACACCCCCACATGTGATGAAATGACATTTGCTCACAATTATCATTGAAGCTTTGTGACACCAGAGTGTTGGAAGCCGCCAAGTGGCCATCAGTCAATAAGGGACTGGTTAAAGGGGTGATGGTGTGTATCGACAGTGGAACGCTATGCAGCTGTTAAAGAGAATGATAAAAATCTGTGTTTCTGTCCAGGCATGGTGGCTCACGCCTGTAATCCCAGCACTGTAGGAAGCCAAGGTGGGCAGATCACTTGAGGTTGGGAGTTCGAGACCAGCCTGACCAACATGGTGAAAGCCTGTGTATACTAATAACACAAAAATTAGCTGGGAGTGGTGGCACGTGCCTGTAATCCCAGCTACCCTGGAGGCTGAGGCAGGAGAATCGCTTGAACCCAGAGGGTGGACGTTGCAGTGAGCCGAGATCGAGCCACTGCCCTCCAGCCTGGGTGACAGAGCGAGACTCTGTCTCAAAAAAAAAAAAAGTGTTTTGAAATGGGAAGATTTCCAGGTACATTAACAAGTACAAAACGCAAGGTGAAAAACAGTGCATGGAGTATGCTGCTCTTTGTATAAGAAAGCTGGGCGGCCGGGCGCAGTGGCTCACACCTATAATCCCATGGGGAGGCCGAGACGGGTGGATCACGAAGTCAAGAGATTGAGATTATCCTGGCCAACATGGTGAAACCTTATCTCTACTAAAAATACAAAAATTAGCTGGGTGTAGTGGCGCGAGCCTGTAGTTCCAGCTACTTGGGAGGCTGAGGCAGGAGAATTGCTTGAACCCAGGAGGCGGAGGTTGCAGTGAGCTGAGATTATGCCACTGCACTCCAGCCTGGCGACAGAGCAAGACTCTGTCTCAAAAAAAAAAAAAAAAAAAAAGAAAGATGGACATACGAACATATGTATGTGAATTTACTTATATTTGCATCAAGAAACACTGGAAGGATAAACAAGTTATAATAAAATGCTCTTCTGTCTGAGGCACAGGGGAAGGGAGTGATTGGGAATAGGTGTCGGAATGCCTCCTTTGCATGGGTCTTTTGATGGATTGTGTTGACCTTTGAATCATGTAGAAAAGCAAGTCAGCAACCAGCAAAAGCAAATCAGCCAGGGAATGCCTTTGACTTTGAATGAGACCAAGAGCAGGTGGTGGAGAGTGAAGGTGGTTGACTGCATTTCTTAGCTCAGAAGCAAAGTCAGTGCATTCATTCATTCATTCAATCTGCAAATGCATACCGAGCCTCTCCCATGCACTGTCTGCTGTTGCACATGCCGAGGATACAGCTGTCAACAGAAGCATTAAGGTCCAAGCTTTCCCAGAGCTGGCATTCTTGAGGGGGCAAACACATGACAAAAAGGTGATTAGTGAGGAAGAGAAGGCTCATGCGGCAGGACCTAGAGAGGAAGGCGAGAGGAGTCCATGCTGAGGCCAGAGGGGACGTTCATTGCTGATACATATTCCTATGTGTTCATCATGCATTTGCAAACAGTATTTTTTTAATTTTATTTTTTAAAGACAGGGTCTTGCACTGTCACCCAGGCTGGAGTGCAGTAGCACGATCATAGCTCACCACAGCCTCTACCTCCTGGCCTCAAGTGATCCTCCCACCTCAGCCTTCCAAGTAGCTGGAACTAAAGGTGTGTGCTGTCATGCCCAACTAATTTTATTGTTATTATTAATATTTTTTGTAGAAATGAGGTCTCACTGTGTTGTTGCCCAGCTGGTCTCTTGAACTCCTGGCCTCAAGCGATCCTCCTGCCTCAGCCTCCTAAAGTGTCAGGATTACAGGTGTGAGTCACTGCGCCTGGCCCTTTGAACAATATTTGCACCTAGGATAATAAAGTGGTGTAAAATCTTACATTTAATCTTTTGCTACAGCAGTCAGGATTACATTTTATCATCATATTATCACTTCAGATAAGTTTCTTTCTTTCTCCTTCCTTCCTTCCTTTCTTTCCTTTTTTTTTTTTTTTTGAGATGAAATCTCGCTCTGTTGCCCAGGCTGGAGTGCAGTGGTGTGAGCTCGGCTTACTGCAACCTCTGCCTCCCAGGTTCAAGTGATTCTCCTGCTTCAGCCTCCTGAGTAGCTGGGATTACAGGGATGCGCCACCACGTGTGGCTGATTTTTGTATTTTTAGTAGAGACGGGGTTTTGCCATGTTGGCCAGGCTGGTCTCAAACTCCTGACCTCAGGCGATCCACCTGCCTCGTCCTCCCAAACTGCTGGGATTACAGGCGTGAGCCACGGTGCCGGGCCAGGATTATATTTTATCATAATATAATTATCACTTCAGATAAGTTTCAAATAAAAAAAACCACGTTATGGCAGGTGACTGTGCCCCAGCCCACTACTGTGTTGGTGGAAAACTAGAATTTAGTTGAATAAATAAAAAGTGGATTTGATCATGATAGTTTGCTTTCACAACAGTCAGGTTATTCTGGGGTTAATGTTCTCTGAATGATTTGTGACTATAACCATAGATTATTAGGTGATGAGACATTACTGTGACGAGTCTATTTTTTTCTATTCTGTAGTTTAAAAAAATTCCTCTTCACTGTGATATATTAGCTACAGAAAATTGAAAAAAAAACCCACGCATACACTCAGATAAATCACATAGCCCTCATATTCCATATGTCTTCATGACAGTCATTGTCTGAGAATCCCAGGGCGATAGCTCCATGGTAGATAATGTAGATATTTGAAACATATTTGTCTTGTGTTTATTTATTTATATTTTCTCTTCCTTGTCTTTTTAGTGGCAGACTTATCTGTCATAGTTTCTGAATTCGATGAAAGATTAATGTGGTTATTTTTAAAATTTTTACGATGAAATGATTAGTTTGCAAGAGAGATTTTTCTCTGTCTCTTTGGGTTCAATTAAATGTTGGTGAAACTTGAGAAATAATGAGCAACATGGATCAAAGCCGTGGGGAAAGGCGGTGTTATTGCTTCCAGCATCTCTAGGTCTGCAACAGCAAGAGTTAAGTTTTGCTCAGAGAATGAAGGAAAAATAACACAGACTGGGCAGCCAGATTTGCGAGTCTGGGCTTTTCCTGACAACCAGTGCAGACTATAGCTCCATCTGACATGGAACCGGCGTATTCACAAGCATTGCTAGATCTGTGATCTAGTTATGAAAACACCAGAAATCGGCTTTGTTTTCAGGGTGAAAAAAATGCAAAGTCATACAGATTCTTATTTCCTAATCATGATAAACTCCACTGTATGGTATATTAAGGAAAAGCTCCAGGAGTAGCAGACATCCTCTGTCATTTTAGGAAATGCACAAAAAGGTGGTAATGAAAGCTTGTTGTCGTATTTCCTATTTCTCTATTCTTTTTTTTTTTTTTGAAGAGATGGGGTTCCACTTTCTTGCCCAGTCTGGAGTGCAGTGGTGTGATCATATCTCCCTGCAGCCTTGAACTCCTGGGCTCAAGCGATCCTCCTGCCTCAGTCTCCCGAGTAGTTGGGACTACAGGTCTGCACTGCCATGCCCAGCTTATTTTATTTTATTTATTTATTTTTTTGAAATAGTCTTGCACTGTCACCCTGGCTGGAATGCAGTAGTGCGATCTCAGCTCACTGCATCCTCCTCCTCCTGGGTTCAAGCAATTCTCCTGCCTCAGCCTCCTGAGTAGCTGGGACTACAGGCGCCTGCCACCACACCTGGCTATTTGTATTTTTAGTAGACATGGGGTCTCACTTTGTTGACTAGGCTGGTCTTGAACTCCTGACCTCATGATCCACCCACCTCGGCCTCCCAAAGTGCTGGGATTACAGGTGTGAGACACTGCGCCCAACCCTATTTTATTTTTAATTTTTGTGGAGATGGAGTTTTGCTATGTTGCCCAGGCTCGTCTTGAACTCCTGACTTCAAGTAATCCTCCCACCTCAGCCTCCCAAAGTGCTGGGATTACAGGTGTGAGCCAGCACTCCTGGCCTCCCAATTCTTAATTGCTTAAAAGGGTTGGACTCTCTTTGAGGACTAGCTGATTCAGAGCTTTGTCAGATCTGTCCTCTTAGAATCTCAGGGTGGACTTGGGAGGATGTGATCTTTGCTTCCTGGTAGATAAAGGAAAAAAGTAGGTAGTGACTGCAGAAGGACCTCCACTCTGCCTCCTCAATTCACCTTACAGGAAGCTTGGACAGCATCTCTGGGGCTGGCCAGGGCAGTTGCTGCAGCCAGCCTGTGAGGACAGGATCGTCCTCATCCACCATTGCTGCCAGTGAGACAACCCTGCCAGAGCAGGTTTGATTTTCCATAAGCAGCTGTACTCAAGGATGTAGAAAGGCACCTGGCCACTCTGAGGATACATGTTCCGTGCTCTGCGTGTTGTGTTATCTTTCTGAATTTACTTTCTAGGCAGGAAATAAGAATAGGGTAGCAAAAGTAAGAAAGGACGAAGGGCAGTTGGGTAGGAGTCGTCTGATTCTTTAATGCTTTTTACTATTTGGGGTAGCAGTTTAAAGAAGAGATGCTTTTGGCCGGGCGCAGTGGCTCACGCCTGTAATCCCAGCACCTTGGGAAGCCGAGGTGGGCGGGTCGCGAGGTTAAGAGATCGAGACTATCTTGGACAACATGGTGAAACCCCGTCCCTACTAAAAATACAAAAATTAGCTGGGTGTGGTGGCGTGCACCTGTAGTCCCAGCTACTCCGGAGGCTGAGGCAGGAGAATTGCTTGAACCTGGGAGGTGGAGGTTGCAGTGAGCTGAGATCATGCTATTGCAATCCAGCCTGGTGACAGAGCGAGGCTTCATCTCAAAAAAAAAAAAAAAAAAAAGAAGCTTTCAAAGTAAGAATACCCAAAAGTAACCCAACAGTGGTGGAAATATTTCACAGTTATTTTTAGGTGTTCTTCTATGATGGTAGCCAAGGTATCTCTTAGAGTAGATGCCTTGAGTGGAGACCGTATTGTTTTGCCACGTATCTTTGGAGGAGGAAGTTTGTTGCTCATCACAGAAACCAAACACTGTTTTTCTTGGGAACTGTTCCCTGTTCTCTGAAACAATGAACACGCTTCTCTCGGATCCACTTCACCAGAATATTCCCACCCAGCGCTTCTTACGTCTTATATACCAAGACCCCTAACTCCCTTGCGACTCAGCGAAAGAATGAGTGCGTGCTCCTAAGAGTTTGTGTTCTGTCGAAGTCCAAATTCTGTTAATTTTATGAAAATTCACTTATTTTTCATTACTAAATGGATAATTTGAATTTCTGGCCTATGAAGAGTTTTTTTTTTTTTTTTTTTTTTTTTTTAGGCAGAGTCTTCCCCTCTGTTGCCAGGCTGGAGTGCGGTGGCGTGATCTTGGCTCACTGCAACCTTCGCCTCCCAGGTTCAAGCAATTCTCCTGCCTTAGCCTCCCGAGTAACTGGGACTACGGGCACGCGCCACCGTGGCCAGCTAATGTTTGTATTTTTAGTAGAGACAGGGTTTCACCATGTTAGCCAGGATGGTCTCCATCTCTTGACCTTGTGATCCGCCCACCCTGGCCTCCCAAAGTGCTGGGATTATAGGCATGAGCCACTGCGCCTGGCCAAGAATTTTTTTTTTTTTTTTGAATAAATGGTTATAAGCATTGGACCATATTTGTGAAGGTCTCAAGACCATCTAACAGAATTGTTGTAAAATATGACAGTAACAGGAACAACTACAAAAAAGAGAGCTGATATTTGTATATTGCTGTTAGCATGCATTATTAAACATGAGAAGGGTCAGAGTTCAGATGTGACATGCCTAATGGGCTGATATGAGTTGTGGAGCTCTCATTCTCTTTTTTCTTTAGAGATGGGTTCTTGCTCTGTTTCCCAGGCTGGAGTGCAGTGGCACGGTCATAGCCCACTGCAGCCTTGACCTCCTGGGCTCAAGCAATCCTCCCATCTCAGCTCCTGCCCTGAGTAGCTGGGACTACAGGCATGCACCACCATGCCCAGCTTGAGCTCTTATTTCTAACCCGTTAAGGTAATGGAGTCCTCTGCAGTGAAGTGGTGTTAGTGAGAATAGCTTGCAGGGCAGAGCCTAGCAGCATAGACAGAGAGCACTCTATCTGGGCTGGAAGAAAAAATGAGCATATGCCAGAGAATAAACATCTTTTGTCAAAATTCTGTTGGGCAACCAGCAGCTGGCACTCATATCTAGAGTCCAAGACCGATAACAGCAAACTTATTTCCTATTTGGCTTAGAGAATGAAAATAAGCTCTAAGAGTTTTTTTTTTTTTTTTTCCTCCTGAAATGGAATCTTTCTCTGTCGTTCAGGCAGGAGAGAGCAATGGCGTGATCTTGGCTCACTGCAACCTCTGCCTCCCGTGTTCAAGTGATTCTCCTGCTTCAGCTTCTTGAGTAGCTGAGATTAGAGGCGCACACCACCACACCTGGCTAATTTTTGTATTTTTAGTAGAGACGGGGTTTCACCTTGTTGGCCAGGCTGGTTTCGAACTCCTGACCTCAAATGATTCACCCACCTCAGCCTCCCAAAGTGTTGGGATTACAGGTGTGAGCCACTGCACTTGGCCAGCTCTAAGAGTTTTAAAAAATTTATGCATAAATATATCATAGGTTGGTACTAACCAGTATTTTAGTTGTTAGTAAATTTGGTGGTTTGTTTATAATGCAACAACTTATCTTTTTAAGTAAACATGAATTCATAATCTGCCAGCACATCTGTGTCTCTATCAGCCAGTTTTCTCACCTCTGAGATTACCACTCTTTTGTTTTCACTACGATGTTCTCGGTGCTTTTTTCTCACCTCTCGGTGAGTTGAAGGGGCTGATGTGTATCGCCCCCTGATATGGTTAGGCTTTATTTCCCCACCAGGTCTCATCTTGGATTATAATTCCTATAAATCCCCATAATCCGCAGGTGTCAAGGGAGAGACCAGGTGGAGGTAAATGAATCATGGGGTAGGTTTTCCCCATGCTGTTCTCGTGATAGTGAGTTCTCACTAGATCTGATGGTTGTATAAGTGTGTGGTAGTGTCTCCTGCGTTCCTTCTCCTTCCTGCCGCCTTGTGAAGAAGATGCCTTGCTTCCCCTTCTGCCTTGCTTCCTTCCTCTTCCACCATGATTGTAAGTTTCCCGAGGCCTCCCCAGCCATGCTGAACTGTGACTCAGTTAAACCTCTTTCCTTTATAAATCACTCAGACTCAGGCAGTTCTTTATAACAGTATGAAAACGGACTAATACACCCCTGCTTAGATGGGGTCTGAAAACCTGGTTAAAGTATATCTCAAAACAATAAATAAAAGCTCCTGGCTGTTGGTCCCCTCTTTGTCCCGTGGTTGTTGAGTGACTAGGTAAGAAATTAAATGGGACACTCTGCAGATACCTAGCAGAGGCCTCGGCAGGTGGGTCTTCCATCAGTTGGTATTTTTCCTCTCCTTCAGTAGCTCTTTTCCGATTGCCACAGAGCACTCCCAGGTGCAGAGAGTAGTCAGTAAATGAACTGGCCATCTCCAGAGCTTTTGCAGACTCACCTTGAGCAAGGCTGATGCTCTCAGAAGGTGTACCATTTGATCGTGTGGCTTTACCTACCCTCCCCCACCACGTGTACTGTAATTTGAGAGTTTAGTGTTAGTGGCTGATGTCAGACAAGGCAGAAAAGAGTGGTCAAGGCCGGGCGCCGTGGCTCATGCCTGTAATCCCAGTACTTTGGGAGGCCGAGGCAGGCGGATCACGAGGTCAGGAGATTGAGACCATCCTGACTAACACGGTGAAACCCCATCTGTACTAAAAATACAAAAAATTAGCCGGGTGTGGTGGCGGGTACCTGTAGTCCCAGCTACTCAGGAGGCTGAGGCAGGAGAATGGCATGAACCCGGGAGGCGGAGCTTGCATTGAGCCGAGATCTCGCCACTGCACTCCAGCCTGGGTGACAGAGCGAGACTCCATCTTAAAAAAAAAAAAAAAAAGAGTGATCAAATTCATCCCAAATGTATTTTGTTGTATTTCATATTCTTCATATTTGAGCACTTAAGAACCATTCACAAGTCAATTCTCTAAAGCAGAACATCACATTCAACAGCACACACATTCCTGAGACGTTCTGGATATTGGGCAAGGAATAATCAATCCTAAATTCCATTATGCCTTTACAGTGGTCATGTTGAAATCTGATGAGAATGGTGGGTGAGAGCTTGGGTTTGTCCGTCACCCATAAAGCACGCAGTTTGTGCATTTCAGTTATGTGCAGAGGTTTAATGGTAGATTTCTAATTGAAGGATAAGATAGTGGGGCAGCATTTCTTTACCAACTCTGATAAGCGAAAATAAAAGTCCTGTTCATCTGGGTGTTTCTGTCTCAGCCATTAATTATAGATAATCCCCAATTACCCCTGAATTCAGAGAGTTTTGCATATAATTAAAATTCTCTGATAATTCAAAAATTCTACTTTGGTTGTTAATTCTTATTTCTATTGAGCCAATCTTTTATTTTTATTTTATTTTATTTGTTGAGATGGAGTCTCACTCTTTCACCCAGGCTGGAGTGCAGTGGTGTGATCTCGGCTCACTGCAAGCTCTGCCTGCCAGGTTCAAACGATTTTCCTGCCTCAGCCTTCCGAGTAGCTCGGATTACAGGCGCCCACCACCACGCCTATCTAATTTTTGTATTTTTAGTAGAGATGGCGTTTCACCATGTTGGCCAGGCTGGTTTTGAACTCCTGACCTCAAGTGATCCACCCACCTTGGCCTCCCACAGTGCTGGGATTACAGGTGTGAGCCCCTGTGCCCAGCTGAGCCAATCTTATTTTTAACAAGCATCAAAGAGGTAATGTTTTGAGCAACCACCTCGTATTTTATCCAGGTTGTTGCATTTAATCACCCCTTTGGTGCTGCAGTGTGGTATTACTCCACATTACAGATGAAGAGACAGAGGTTCTGGGAGGCTAAATGCAAAGTCATCTCTTGAGTCATGAGCTGGACTGCTACTTCACCTAACTTGAGACCCATACTCTCTCTTTCTCTTTAGATTGCTGCCTGCCCACTGCTAGAAGCAGATAGGAAGAGGCCAGAAAAAGACTGAAATGATCATAAATCATCAATTTCTGAGTAACCAGGAATTGACAAATATTTGAGAGAGTTAGCCTCAGTTTCTTCATTTAAAAAATGAGGTTATGGCTGGATGCTGTGGCTGATGCTTATAATCCCAGCTGCTTGGGAGGTTGAGGAAGGAAGATCTCTTTAGGCCAGGAGTTCGAGACTAGCCTGGGCAACATAGTGAGACACCGTCTCGAAAAAAAATTTTAGGGAGACCAAGGCGGGCAGATCACGAGGTCAGGAGATCGAGCCCATCCTGGCTAACACGGTGAAACCCCATCTCTACTAAAAATACAAAAAAATTAGCTGGATGTGGTGGTGAGCACTTGTATTCCCAGCTGCTTGGGAGGCTGAGGCAGGAGAATGGTGTGAACCTGGGAGGCATAGCTTGCAGTGAGCCGAGATCGCACCACTGCACTCCAGCCTGGGCGACAGAGCGAGATTCTGTCTCAAAACAAACAAACAAAAATTTTTAAAATTTAGCTGGGAGTGGTGGCACATACCTGTAGTCCTAGCTACTTGAGAGGCTAAGGCAGGAGAATTGCTTGAGACCAGGAATTGGAGGCTGCAGTGAACTATGATCACACCACTACACTCCAGCCTGGGAGACAGGGCAAGACCCTGTCTCTGAATTTCTTTTTTTTTTTTTTTTTAGAAGTCAATAGGTTTTCCTAGGGGGAGGTGTTATTTGTAAGTAACAGATGAGATAATGCATTAAAAATACTTTGGTAAGTGCCATCAGCAATAAATATGCCAAGGAAGATGGTCCCCCTCTCAAGCCTCTGACCTTAGGAAGGATCTGTGCCTGGGAAATGTGTCTTGGGAACGTTTTTTATGGGAAGGTCGTGGCGGCAGCTACACAGGGCTTCTTACACGAGCTGAGAGCGACATCTGGTCCAGACAGATGACAGGTGCAAAATGAAGCAGGATGTTTCAGGGATTGTCGTAGCTGGGGCACATTTGCTTGTTTAAAATCTCTGGAACTTCCTGGCCAAAAGGCTTATAGGGTTTTGATGACTCATTTTGAAGCAAAGCAAGCACCCCAGGATGTTGCCCTCGAACTCAGGTTGAAATTTCACCTCTCTTGGCTGCCTGAGAAACTTGTTGTCAGTACGTGGCCCGCAGAAGGAATGGGTAGATGCTGCCATGTGGAACGTGTAATAAATATTGTGACTCGGCAAAGGGGTGTCCACTCTCATGTTTTCTTTTTTATTGACATGGAGTCTCACTCTGTCACGCTGGCTGGAGTGCAGTGGCGCGATCTCAGTTCACTGCAACCTCTGCCTCCCGGGTTCAAGCGATTGTCCTGCCTCAGCCCCCCGATTAGCTGGGATTACAGGTAGCTGCCACAATGCCTGGCTAATTCTTGTAATTTTAGTAGAGATGGGGTTTTGCCATTTTGTCCAGGCTGGTCTTGAACCGCTGGCCTCAAGTGATCCACCTACCTCAGTCTCCCAAAGTACTGGGATTATAAGCATGAGCCACTGCGCCCAGTCACTCTCATGTTTTCCTGACAGCTGCGACCAGGGTAACTTATGAATTGTGACTTGAGCCATGTCCCAACCTAAAGAGAGCAGTTACTTAATGCATTTTCAAATGCACTGAATGTCAAAATATTTTCACCTCTGATTAAAAAAATGAAATTGTCAGTTATGCCAGGTCTACCTAGAATAGATGACTTTTCTCTCATCAACACTCATTTTATGAGAGCGTTAGCAGAGATACACTTCATAATGCTTGGCATAGCCCATTGTAGGGATGGCATATGTATTTGTTGAATAAATGGGCTGCAGAAGCACCTGTAAAACCCAGGCTGGGTTTGTGTAATCATTTGTAGGTAGGATTATCTCTTGATTGGTCTTTGTTCACATGAGGTTTACAACATATGTTCTTTAGGTTTTTTAAATGGAATTTTTTATTGACATAATTGTAGATTTGCATGAAGTTGTCAGGAGTAATAGAGATAGCCTGCATACCCTTTATCCAGTTTCACCCAATGGTAAATCTTACAAGTTTACAGTACAATATCATAACCAGGATATTGAAATTGATATAGTTCATGTCATTCATACAAGCTACCGATTTTATGCAAATACGCTTTTTAATTTTTATGTTTTGAGACAGGGTCTCACTCTGTCACTCAGGCTAGAGGGCAGTGGTGCCATCATGGCGCACTGCAGCCTTGACCTCCTGGGCTCAAGTGATCCTCCCGCCTCAGCTTCCCGAGTAGCTGGGACTACAGGTGCTTAACACTACATCCAGCTATTTTTTTTATATTTTCTGTAAAGACGGGTCTTCATTCTGTTGCCCAGGCTGGCTCATCTCAAACGCCTGGGCTCAAGCAATCTGCGTGCCTTACCTTCCCAAAGTTCTGGCATTACAGCCATGAGCCACTGAGCCCGGCCTCAAATATGGTTTTTAAAAGCAATTTTAAAGTGGTGAAGTATGATTGGAGAAAATAAAAGCCATGTTGTGGGCCACAGGGGCGGAGGTGGAACTAGAACTTTCTGGGCATTTGTTGGGATGCTGCTGGTTCCCAGGTGCAGAGGAGAGGTGAGTTTGGAATGATTGGGGGTGTCCCTAGTAGGGGAGGAAAGGTTGTCCTGGAGTGGCATGGCATGGACAGTAGTAAAAAGACTCCTTCACAGCCCCACACAGGAGCACTGCCTGTGTTCTCTGGGGAGGGGCCAGCCCTCTGGTGGGGGCCCTTTGTGCCTATAACCCCCCATGACCCTGCCCTCCAGCCCATGTGATGGGCGGACGTGGAGTAGTTTAGGCTTGTCAGGGGCTCTTAAGTCTGATCTGCACCCAAATCCCTGACCACACCTTCCCCCTTCGGAACTAGAATTTCCAGAAGGTTTGAGAAGAATTAGCCTCTGTCTTTGTCATCCTTTCCTTTCATGGGGTTGTTTTTCTTATTGGATTCAGGCAAGCAAATAATTAGGTCTTGGAGGGCTGGGGGTGCTTCTTTTTATTCATTATTTAGCAGCCTCTTTCTGGTCCCAAATCTCATCTGCCCTCAGCAGTCTACATAGCGTCCTGCCCGGGCAAGGTGGGGGATTCACATGGATGGAAATCAAGTGAACGGCTCCACAGGGAGAGATTCTGAGGGGATGGAGACCTGTAGCTCCCCGGATAAAGAGGAAATGGGGTGAGGAGAGGAGGGGGGCGGTGCTGTGTAGGGCAAGGAGCCTGTTGTATTCTGGGACCCTTGAAGTCCATGCCTGCTGAGCTTAAAGGGTCTCCTCTGAATGGGAACATGGCCTTGTTTCTATTTAGGGAGAGAAAAGCCACCCAGCATTTCTATAGTCTTGAATTAGACCCAGCATTCTAGGTTAGAAGGTAGAGGTTCCCCCGCCCCCCTCCCCTTTTCATATAGAATTAGAAAATATCTGGATTTCAGCCCATACAAGGTGCTCATGCAATTAACCCTTTCTTCCAAGCGAGGCCTTCCCTGAGAGGTGTGCAGATGGCAATATATTTACGGCTTCCACTGGGGCATAACCAAGAAAGGGGACATCTGCATCGTATTCTCTTTCTAGGTTTGCCGTGCTCTGCTACAGTCATGGCAAATAAACAACCCACCTTCCCCAGGAATGACTAATTCATAAACACATAACTACACAACTACAGCTTATGATGTGGAAACCTGGATAGCTTATTTCCGGGAAAAGCTAATATCATAAAAAGCTTTTGTAAATGTGTTTATTAGTATATTATTTCATAAGCTTTTAAGAATCCAATTTTAAAATGTGCACCTTCTGGAGAAAACAATGTTATATTTTACTTGGAGAACACTTTAGTGGAAATGACCCTTTCAAAGGATTTGGTAAATGCATGTGTTAGATTCATCTTTTCAGTCATTGTATATAATCAGTTCTTTCAGAACCTTTTTTCTTCCTGGCTGATTGTTTTTTTTCCTGTTGTCACTTTTTTGGTGTGTTAGGGTACCATTCTTCTTAAGTATCGAACACTTTATCAGGGCATATTCTGATAGTTATATAAATGGGAGAATACCAGACAGAAGGATAGTGAATATTTGCTTGATTGCTTTAGATTTTTCTTTGGACTTGAAGATATGTCTAAATGATTTCAAATGTTCATTTGTTAATAAACAACCAGATTGTTAGGTTTTTCAGATTGTCTCAAAAATGTCCATGATTATATAAATATAGCTAGCCTTGAGGTCTGCATTTACCTCCTGGATTTCATAACAATTCTCTATAATGCTTTTGAAAACTTTGGCTTTCTATATGGTATATTTAGGGCAGCTTTTTTAAATTTAGGAAAGTGTGCCATGCCATTCCTTTGTATGATATATAAAGACTTGACCAGGAGTATAAAAATCAACTCTAATCCCACCACTCAGAAATAACCACTGTGAGATTTTTTATGTATTTTCCAGACCTTTTCTGTGCATAGTCAACACAATTGCTTTTGTATTGTGTGTTGTTTCTTCCCTTTTCCACAGAGTGACATATCTTGGGCATTTACCCATATTGTAAATTTTTCACTAAAATCCCTAAAATACTGTGTATGCTTCTTCTTCTTCTTTTTCTTCTTCTTTTTTTTTTCTTCCAACATGGAGTCTCGCTCTGTCGCCCAGGTGGAGTGCGGTGGCGCGATCTCTTCTCACTGCAACCTCTGCCTCCTGGGTTCAAGCGAGTCTGCTGCCTCAGCCTCCCGAGTGGCTGGAATTACTGGTGCCTGCCACAACACCCGGCTAATTTTTGTGTTTTTGGTAGAGATAGGGTTTCACCATGTTGGCCAGGCTGGTCTTGAACTCCTGGCCTCAAGGGATACACCCACCTCCGGCTCCCAAAGTGCTGAGATTACAGGCGTGAGCCACCTTGCCCGGTCGTGTGTGGTTTTTGAATCCCAAGAAACCATGGCTTGAGGTGTGCTTATGGCCCAGTGTACTGCCACCACCTCTGTACTAAACCAAGCCACCTTGTGTGTGTGTACGTGCGTGCGTGCGTGTGTGCGTGGTGGGGCTGTGCTCCAGGAGCCCTGGTTGATTTGCCTTCTTTTTGTTAGAGCCGCTTTATGACTTCCCCTCTTTCTTTTTTGCTCCTTTTCCTCCTTCCTCCCTTTGTGTCTTTTTCCCACATTATTTTCCTCCATGCTTTTTTCTAGTTCTACTTTCTTGTGTGCCTGTATCTGTATCGATCTGAAGCTTGAGGCTGAGTGGCCACTACTGGTGACTGATTCCCCCACCCCAGCGCACATGTTCACTGCAGGCTGCAGGAAACAGGCTTTGTCCCACTTTCAAAGTGGGAATCAGCCCTGCTCTGGATCAGCCCCTGGTCTGGATCAATGTGTCTGGGTCCATGTGGGAGTGGCTTCCTCTATGGTTCTCTTTCATGTTTACCTTTGGGCATGAGACCCAAATGCTGTCTGTGTTGACCGCTGACTGTAAACAGCACCTCGTTCAAGGTGGTGAACCTGTTTCTTAGTGGCCAGGGTAGGGCTGGCTGTGTGCTGGCTGTGTACACATCAGGTGACCATGTGAACCGTGTCCGAGGTCCTTTGACTAGAGCTCAGCAGCCTAAAACCTGAGGAGGAACAGGGCAGGAGCTATCCAGGTTGACAGGGTATTGGCCAAGGGCCTTTCAGCTCATTCCTTCCTGAGAATCAAGAAAGGCAGGGCTAGAATGCCTGCCCCTTCACTCCCACCCCTCCTGGTTCTCCACTGAGCTCCCTGCCTGCAGAATGGATCTGATTTCTTCCTTTCCTGCGAGCACTATTTATTCCTTTCCTGCTAAGGAGAGATATGTTGAAAAAGCTGTCTCTGGCCAGGTGTGGTGGCTCATACCTGTAATCCCAGCACTTTGGGAAGCCGAGATGGGAGGATCGCTTGAGCCCAGGAGTTCAAGACCAGTCTGGGCAACATAGCAAGACTCTCTCTCTACAAAAAAATACAAAAAAATTAGCAGGGCTTGGTGGTGCGTACCTGTTGTCCCAGCTACTCTGGAGGCTGAGGTGGGAGGATCACTTGAGCCCAGGAATTTGAGGCTGCATTCAGCTATGATTGCACCATTGCACTCCTGCCTGGGAGACAGAGTAAGACTCTGTCTCAAAAAAAAAAAAAAGAAAAAGAAAAGAAAAAGAAAAAAGGAAAAGCTGTCTCTGAGTTTGACTTGATTCCTGTTTAATCTGAGATGCGTCCACCCTTAACCTTCTCCTTTGTCGAGTTCACAGTCACTTGTAACTCTCTTTACTAAGGTGTGGGGACACGCTGAGACACAGCGATGCTCTGCCTTCATTTCCCCCTTGCCTGTCTGTGTTTTCATGTCTAAACTTATCACGAGCATGTATAGGTTAGGCCTGGTGAGCTCTGTAGGCCTCAGATGGTCCATGTCCCATATTCTGCTTGCTCTTCCTCATGTGCCTTGAGCTTCTTTCCTTCCTGTGATTCAAAACCTTGCTCTGCTTCTTCTCATTCGAACACATCCCTTCTCCCTCTATGCAGGGAGGCCTCGCTTGTTGGGTTGTTTCTTGTTTTTTCCTCTCCCTTCATCCCTAGTCACTGTCTCACTCTTCAGTTCGGCACTCAATTCATTCAGCTTATTTTATTTTATTTTTTGAGATGGAGTCTTGCTCTGTCACCCAGGCTGGAGTGCAGTGACATGATCTCGGCTCACTGTAACCGCCTCCTGGGTACAAGCGATTCTCCTTCCTCAGCCTCCTGAGTAGCTGGGATTACAGGCATGCGCCACCCCGCCTACCTAATTTCTGTATTTTTAGTAGAGATGGGATTTCGCCACGTTGGCCAGGCTGGTCTCGAACTCCTGACCTCAGATAATCCACCCGCCTCGGCCTCCCAAAGTGCTGGGATTACAGGCGTGAGCCACCGCGCCTGGCCTCATTCACTCGGCTGTTATTGATCATTTTCTATATGCAGGGCCCTTAACTTGAGGCTGCGAGTACAGGGATGAGTGGCTCAGTTCTTGCCTTGCAGGAACTCGCTGCTCCTTACCCAGGGAGCCAGGGAAGCTGAAATATCCATGTGGGGATTGCTCTGAGGTGGCCAGGATGAGCAGAAACACAGAGGAAAGTGAGCGTATGCCTGACCGGAAGTCAGGAAAGCTGTAGATGGTAAACAGATGCCTGTTAGAGTTTGCTGGGCCAATGTGGGGCAGGAGGGGAGAGGGTGCGCCAGGTGGAAGCAATGGTGGATGCAGAAGCTGTAGGCACAGACAGGTGTGGCATGCTGGGGCACAGGCCAGCAGCGATGTCATGTGGGAATCCAGGGGGAGAAGTTGCACTTGGAAAAAGTAGGCTGTGGCCACATCGTGAAGACCTTTGCCTATCAAAATCATAACAATAGTGAACTGAGGCTGGGTGTGGTGATGTAATTCCAGCTACTCGGAAGGCTGAGGCAGGAGAATTGCTTGAACTTGGGAGGTGGAAGTTGCAGTGAGCTGAGATCACACCACTGCACTCCAGCCTGGGTGACAGAGCGAGACTCTGACTCAAAAAGAAAAAAAAACTGTAACAATAATGAACCCTTTCATAGTCCTTATTATGTGCAAGGTATTGTCTGGTATTTCGTAGATATTAATTCACTCAATCCTTATAACAACTGTAGGAGGTAGGAACTGCTATTGTCTCCATTTTACAGATGGAAGAACTGAGGCCAGAGAGGCTGAGATTTGTTGAGGTCACCTGGCAGCAGGCTGTAGGGCCAGCTGCAAGCCCGGGGAGTCTACACTGGTGACTAGATGGCGGAGTCGGCTCTCCCAACCGCCCAGCTGCTGCTCTCACACTCTAGAGTTGGACTTGATCCTGCGAGCATTGCAGAGCCATGGAGAGGTGTTAAGTAACAGGGAAAAGGATCTCAAATTTGTCAAGGTAATTCCTTATCCTGAGAGACACATGGAGATTTGAACCAGGGAGACTGCTAGGAAGTCCTCTGCAGTTTTTGTAGGGGATTCTCATGGAACTTTCTTTTAGAACCTCTTTCTTACAATTGTGAGTACTGAAAAGGCAATTCTGGAACCTATTTTTAAACCCAGGATAGTTAATAACAAAACTAATGGCATTTAATATTTGAATTAAGTCATATGTTGACAGGATTTAGAGTCCCCTTGGACTTCCTTTTTACTTCTGGGTCCAGTGGGAGGCTGGTGGTTCCACCAACAGTGCCTTTGGGAGTCAGAGGAAGAGGGGAGGGGCAGGAAGCAATAGGCTAGACTGTGTCACCATGTCCCTAACTGCTACCTCTTCAATGAGGATCGTTCTTTTTTTTTTTTTTTTTTTGAGAGAGTCTTGCTCTGTCACCCAGGCTGGAGTGCAGTGGTGCAATCTCGGCTCACTGCAAGCTCCGCCTCCTGGGTTCACACCATTCTCCTGCCTCAACCTCCTGAGTAGCTGAGGAGCCCACCACCACGCCTGCCTAATTTTTTATGTATTTTTAGTAGAGATGGGGTTTCACCGTGTTTTCCAGGATGGTCTCGATCTCCTGACCTAAGAATCCGCCTGCCTCGGCTTCCAAAAGTGCTGGGATTACAGGCGTGAACCACCGCACCTGGCCCGAGGATGGTTCTTTAACCATCCTATTTATTGTGTTAAAACATTGCATAACATAAACTTTACCATTTTTAACCATTTATTTGAGGTAGATATTATTATTTTTGTTGTTTTAACTTTTATTTATGTTCAGGGAGTTGTACAGGTTTGTTATATAGGTAAACTCATATCATGGGGGTTTGCTGTACAGATTTTTTTTATCACCCAGGTACTAAGCATAGTACCTGATAGTTATTTGTTCTGAGTCTCTCCCTCCTCCCACCCTCTACCCTCAAGCAGACCCAGTATCCGTTGTTCCCCTCAAGGTGTCCATGTGTTCTCATGATTTAGCTCCCACTTATGAGTAAGAACATGCAGTATTTGGTTTTGCGTTCCTGCATTTTTTTTTTTGCTAAGGCTAATGGCCTCCGGCTCCATCCATGTTCCTGCAAAGGACATGATCTTGTTCTTTTTTATGGCTGCATAGTATTCCATGGTGCATATGTAACACATTTTCTTTATCCAGTCTGCCATTGATGGGCATTTAGGTTGATTCCATGTCTTTACTACTGTGAACAGTGCTGCAGTGAACGTAGCATGCATGTGTCTTTATGGTAGGATGGTGCACATTCCTTTGGGTATATACCTAGTCATGGAATTGCTGGGTCGAATTCATTGTAATCATCTTATAATGTGCAGTTCGGTGGCATTGAGTACATTCACATTATTGCGCAACCATCACCACCATCCATGTTTTGAACTCTTCCTATCTTGCAGAACTGACACTCTGCACCCATTAAACAACAAGCCCCCCATTCCTCCTCTCCCCAGCACCTGGCAGCCACCATTCTGCTTTCTGTCTCCACGAATTTGACTACTCTAGGGATCTCATATAAGTGGAGTCATACTGTATGTGTCCTTTGTGTCTGGTCTGTTTCACTTAGCATAATGTCCTCAAGGTTTGTCCATGTTGCAGCATGGGTCAGGATTTCCTTCCCCATTAAGCCTGGGTAATATTCCACTGTCTGGCTGTACCACCTTTTGTTTATCCATTCCTCTATCCATGGGTACCCGGGTTGCTTCTACCTGTTGGCTATTGTGGGTAATGCTGTTGTGAACATGAGTGTACAAATATCTGTTTGAGACCCTTCCTGCAGTTCCTTTAGGTCTTCTGTGAGTTCTTCACCCCTCCTAGGTCTGAGTTTGGGAACTAGGATTAGTTCGTTGATGGACATGGAAGTTGCTTCCTTCTCCCCTTTTTTTGCTGCTGTGTCACATGAATCATATGCATATGATGTTAGAGATGGACTTCAGAGGGACTGTGTTCTAGAACTGGTTCTCCTCGCACTTGTATTCAATAGGAACCACAGTGAACATAGTTCATGCTAGAGGCATGGCTCCCTGAGTGATGGCGGTGCTAGAAGAGTTGACAGGAGAGGGAGGGGTGGGGAAAGTGGTGATTTGAGCGCAGCGTAGGAAATAGACATTATGGGAATTCATCAGTTTGCACTAAATGGTGGTACATGAGGAAGAGAGAAGTCTAGGCCGGGTGGGGTGGCTCATGCCTGTAATTCCAGCAGTTAGGGAGGCCGAGGGGGGGCGGATCACGAGTTCAGGAGTTTGAGACCAGCCTGACCAACATGGTGAAACCCCATCTCTACTAAAAATACAAAAATTAGCTGGGCATGGTGGCACGTGCCTATAATCCCAGCTACTCAGGAGGCTGGGGCAGGAGAATAGCTTGAACCTGGGAGGCGGAGGTTGCAGTGAGCCGAGATCACACCACCGCACTCTAGCCTGGGCAACAGAACGAGACTCTGTTTCAAAAAAAAAAAGAAGTCTAGAGTGAATCCCAGATCTCTAGCTTGGGTGACTAGATGACCATGAACTAGGATGTCTGGAAAAGGGGGAGGGTGGGTTGAGAGACCACAGAGCATGCATTTATTTTAGGGCACCCCAGAACAGGGGAGGAAGCCCCTTGGGATCTACAGACGATCTGCAGGGTAAAGATAATTACAATGTGACTATAAAATGAAGCTGGAAAAATGAAATAAAGATACCGTATAATGAGTGTAAATTTAGATCCTTACTCAGCGAAGATCATTATATTTCCTTACAAAAATTTCTCTTATCATGTCGAGATTTTTTAATTTCGGGAATCTGGAGTGGGGAGGGTCATATGTTCCTGGTTTGTTTCGAAGGTGACAGATGAAACTGGGAGGATAATTTGATATTAAATGTGATAAGTATTTCCACCTCTTTTCTTACCCTACTTTGAACTTGAAGTTGGGATTAGTCATGGCAGCTTTTCTCTTACCAGCCCTTCATCGTCTGGCCCCATAAGTCCCTTCTCAGCAGGCCTGCCCATCTGTACACTGGAGGAAACCCAGCTCTCCGTTCTGTCTGCTCCAGGTCCTGTTATGTGGGATTGGAGTGAAGCCCACAGTTAGAGGAGTGGCTGTTACGGGAAAGACAATGAGTTTACTGGCAGGTAACTTGCTCTTGTGCTGCTGTTGGAATATCCAGGCAGAGTTATGTAGGCAGTTGGGTGGAGAGGTCTGATGCCTAGGATGGACCTGAAGCTTGAGGGATTATGGAGTCATCGCCAATGCCCGGGGCATGGGATTGTCAGAAAGAACGCAGGTCACAAGAAGAAGAGAAGTCCTGGCTAGGTGCGGTGGCTCACACCTGTAATCCCAGCACTTTGGGAGGCCGAGGCGGGCAGATCACTGGAGGTCAGGAGTTCGAGTCCAGCCTGGCCAACATGGTGAAACCCCGTCTCTACTAAAAATACGAAAATTAACTGGGAGTAGTGGTGGACACCTGTAATGCCAGCTACTTGGGAGGCTGAGGCAGGAGAATGCTTGAACCTGGGAGGCGGAGGTTGGAGTGAGCCAAGATCATGCCATTGCACTCCAACCTGGGTGACAGAGCAAGACTCTGGCTCAAAAAAGCAGAAGATTGTCCTCTTCATTGTTTACTCCTGTGTCCATCTGAGATGACTGGGGAAGACGAAAGGGGCACGATTAGGAGGCGGAGTCTCCCCTGGAGTGTGGTCCCATTCTACTCTCTTCATAGGCACCACTGCAGACTCCAGAGCAGGAAGAACGGGATTTAGGTAGACAGGTGAAGGGGCTGGAAGAGACAGGACGATGTGTGGTAGTCACATGGGCCAGGGAAGTGGAGCCCACAGAGGAGACTGTGGAGGGAGGGGCAGGGTGTTCAGATGAGAACCAGGGCAGACGGTGTCTTGGAAGTCAAGGGGGAAGAAGCTGAAGGCGGAGGGAGTGCTCACCTGTGCGATGCCAGAGGGGAAAGGTGATTGACAAACATCCACCGTGTTTGGCTGCGGGGAAGCCTTCGTGACCTCTGCCATCGTTTCAGGCAGTGGTGGTGTTGGATCCCATGGAATCCCGTATGCTTTATTCCAGTCTTGTAGATGGGATTCTTTCAGCACATTCTCTCCTTAGTTCCTGAATTCTAGATGCTGTCCATCTGGCTATTATGCCTCTTTATATCACCTTTTCTTTTTTTCTTTTTCTTTTTTTTTTTTTTGGAGACAGAGTCTTGCTCTGTCACCCAGGCTGGAGTGCAGTGGTGTGATCTTGACTCACTGCAAGCTCCGCCTCCCGGGTTCATGCCATTCTCCTGCCTCAGCCTCCTGAGTAGCTGGGACTACAGGTGCCCTCCACCACGCTCTGCTAATTTTTTTGTATTTTTTTAGTAGAGACGGGGTTTCACCGTGTTAGCCAGGATGGTCTCGATCTCCTGACCTCGTGATCCACCTGCCTCGGCCTCCCAAAGTGCTGGGATTACAGGCGTGAGCCACTGCACCCAACCTGTACTTATTTTTTGAGACAAGGTCTCGCTCTGTCACCCAGGCTAGAGTGTTGGTGTGATCATGGCTTACTGCAGCCCCAACCTCGTGGACTCAAGCAATTCTCTCACCTCAGCCTCCTGAGTACCTGGGACTACAGACATGTACCACCATCCTGTCTAATTTTTTTTTTTCTATTTTTTGTAGAGACAGTGTCTCTTTATGTTGCCCAGGCTGGTCTCAAACTCCTGGCCCCAACGAGTCCCAGCATTTATAGGCATGAGCCACTGCCCCTGGCCTGTCCTTATTTTAACAGTAATACGGGGTGCACTTTTATTTCCTGGAATTCCAAATCCAAGGTACTTGAGGAGTCAGAGTTGGTGGGGATCTCTGTGGATCTTGAAACTTGGATCACAGGTAACCTGGACTGGCGACCCCAAATCCTGAGGAACTGTGAGTTTCCTGTCTCTTGGGCACTGTGCAGTAGGATCTTAGCCTCTCTCTCATGCTCTCCTTTAAACCGCTTCCCTGTTACAGATTCCATCCTCCCCGCTGTTTCTGAGTTACTGCTGTTTGGTAAATCTGTTCTGCTGACATGAATGATAATAATAGTCATCGCCACAGCGTCCTGAGCGCCTGCAACGTTTAGGGCCCTCTACCAAGTGTTTGACGTATTTTCTCCTTTAATTCTTACAATAGCCTTATGAGGTGCGCCCAATTAACTCTTTTTTTATGAATGGGGGAACTCTGACTCAGAATCATTTTAGTAACTTTTTTGGGAGCCAATGACTCTCAAACTTGAAGATGCATCATAGTCTCCTGTGGAGTATGTGAAAACGGCTCCTGGCCCTGCCCACGGCGCTGCTGAGCCAGTGGGTCCCCAGTGACGCTGGAGAAGCTGCATTTTTTTTTCTTTTTTTCTTTTTTTTGAGACGGAGTTTCACTTTTGTTGCCTAGGCTGGAGTGCAGTGGTGCGATCTTGGCTCACTGCAACCTCTGCCTCCTGGGTTCAAGTGATTCTCCTGCCTCAGCCTCCCGAGTAGCTGGGATTGCAGGTGCGCACCACCACGCCTGGCTAATTTTTTGTATTTAGTAGAGATGGGGTTTCACCATGTTGGTCAGGCTGGTCTCGAACTCCTGACTTCAGGTGATCCATCTGCCTCAGCCTCCCAAATTGCTGGGATTATAGGCGCCAGCACCGAGCCCGGCCGAGAAGCTGCATTTCTAACAAGTTCCCCAGCAGTGCTGCTGCTGCCGCCGCTGCTGTGGGGACCATGCTTTGAGCAGCTCTGTGCTGAGTCTCCCACTCAGCCAAGGGGCAGGACAGGGACTCTCACCTGGGCCTGTCTCTCGCCCCACAGGTGTGCTCTGGCCTTTAGAGTATGTACAGCTCAGGAGCCCGCAGCAGAGGGAAGCCTGTCACTGCCCAGGAGGCACGGGTAGGTTCAGGAGAGCGGCTCTTCTTTCTTCTGGCTGGGATCCTGGCATGCATGGGTGTACCAAGGCAAAGGGACGGGGCAGGAGGAGGAGCCGAGGGAGTGCATTGTCTGTGCAGAACTTAAAGCAACAATAAAATCCACTATAACGCAGTCTGCTGCTTATTATCACTGTGTCCACAGTTCTCAACGACGTCCTGGATACATGCTCTGCTTTCTGCCCCCCCAAATGCCACTTCCTGGCAGCCAAAGACTAAAAAAAGGCCTAAGCACCCCTTCATTGTTGGGGCCCTGGTAAGCTCCAAATTCAGTGACCTTGTCTTCTGCTTCTTGTCTGTTTCCCACACATCTCTGGTCACTGGGTAGGGGCTTGGTCCACACCTGCTTGGCAGATCCTTCCTGTTTCCTCTAGTTGTTGATACCAAAATAATCTAATTTAAAATACTTGGCCGGGCTCGGTGGCTCACACCTGTAATCTCAGCACTTCGGGAGGCCGAGATGGGTGGTCAGGAGTTCGAGACCAGCCTGGCCAACTGAAATCCGGTCTCTACTAAAAATACAAAAATTAGCTGGACGTGATAGCGCACGCCTGCAATCTCAGCTACTCGGGAGGCTGAGGCAGGAGAATCACTGGAACCCGGGAGGCGGAGGTTGCAGTGAGCCGAGATCGCGCCACTGCACTCCAGCTTGAGCGACAGAGCAAGACTCCATCTCAAAAACAAAAAACAAAAAACAAAAAAAAACCACTCAAGGAATAAACAAAATCCTATAGAGCCATTATTTGCTAGGTACCTCTAATAGCAATCCCTTTGATAGCACTTGCTGTGTGTCCGTTAGGGTCTAACCACTTGGGCTCAGATGATCTTGTTGACTTCTCACAATAACCTCGTGGGGTGGGTTCTCTTATCACCCCCATGTTACAGAGGAGGAAAGGGAGGAGCTCAGAGTTTAAGGGACTTGCCCAAGGCCGTGTAGGTGATGAGCAGGCAGAACTAGGATCCCCACTTAGGCTGCCTAGCCCCAGAGCCCATGCACCCAACTGCTAGGTTCCACTGCCTCTCAGGCATAGAGTTGATGTTTAATAAGTGCACATTGGATGGCCACATGGAAACGTGTAGATATATGAGATGCAAGCATGAAACTGCCTTTGCAAAAATTGTAACAGTGAGAAAAAATAAGACAGTGAAAGAGATCGGATCTAACCAACTGCCATCTTGCCCTTAACCTCCAACAGCCCTTGGTCATTCCTGGGCTTGGGTCAAGCTAACTTGGGGGGAAATTTAGTTTATAGTTTAAATGATAATAGCCTTTCCCCCAAACTGAGCTGCTTTTATAAAACTAATGAAAGGCCACCAGGTTAGGAGGATGAGAGGGGCCTGAATTCTACTAAGACGTGGGCATAATTAAATTGTTACCAGCCATTATTCCAGAGATCACAAGATTTGCAACTTCCCCAATTACTCCTGTAAATAACATCACTATTGTGGTGTTAGAACCCAAGATGGGCCTTTTGAGATGTCTTTTCCACCTTTTGCATTTCTGATGACCAGGTGGCCCCACCTGGACCCTCAACTCTTGGCTCAGCCAGTCCTGTGGCCCCACCTAGAAAGGGACTCAGTACACCAGGACCATTTTCCAAACCCCTATGATTGCATTCCCAGCCAATCAGCAGCACCCATTCCCTTAGTCCTTGACCCACCAAACTATCTTTGAAAAACCGTAGCCTCTGAGGTTGATTTGAGTAATAACCTGTCTCCCATGTTGTGTGGCTGGCCTTGTGTCAATTAAACTCTTCTCTTTTTTTTTTGAGATGGAGTCTCGCCCTGTTGCCCAGGCTGGAGTGCAGTGGCAGGAACTTGGTTCACTGCAACCTCCGCCTCCCAGGTTCCAGTGATTCTCCTGCCTCAGCCTCCTGAGCAGCCGCGATTACAGGCGTGTACCACCACGCCCGGCTAATTTTTATATTTTTAGTAGAGACGGGGTTTCACCATGTTGGTCAGGCTGGTCTCGAACTCCTGACCTGGTGATCTGCCCGCCTTGGCCTCCCAAAGTGCTGGGATTACAGGTGTAGGCCACCACGCCTGGCCTAAACTCTTTCTTGTTGCAATGCCATGGTCTCAGTGAATTGCTTTTGTCTGTGGAGTGGGCAGGAAGAACCCATTGGGCAATTACAAGCAGCCCAGGGAGCTCGGGCCTGCAGTCAGAGCTGGACACTGTGTGGATCACTCACGATGCTTAATAATTACTCTCCATCAGTCTGCTTAGAATGGCAGCAAATCCCTTCGTGATCCATCACATCTTTCTTGCAGGCTGGTGCAGTGTTTACCTCCACTGTAATGAAATGTGTTTCCCTTGAGGGGGTGGTTATTGGTATTTATAGAGCATCTTATAGCTGAAGAGCTCCAGAAGCAACAATTACCTCTTTAATCCTCTTAGCTTGTCTCTGAAAAGAGGGATGTGAACCGTAGCATAGTGCTGGCTCCTGCCTCCTCTCCTTTCTTCACCCCACCCCTGCCCACTAGAGTTTGCAGACTGTGCCCAGCAGCACTTTGGGAAGCTGGGGGTGGTTCTGGAGGGAATGAGGCCCTTCCCGCAGGTCACCTTTGGAGCTGGGTGGAGATGTAGGGCCACTTAGGGGACCTCCAGGTCAGCGCTTGCATCCACTTGTTTTATAACACCCGGTAGCCAAAATGGAGAAGTAACTTTCTTCCTGCTAAAGAAATCTCACCGGCCACTTTCACTCTTTATGCTCCAGGAAAGAAAGTTGGAATAATAGAATTTTTTTTTCTCTCGAAGCAGTGAATTCTTCTGTCTTGGGAGCCAGATTCAGAGGAATAGCAGAGAAAATGAAAAAGGATGAGGCCTGGGAACCTGCGGAACTTTTCCTGAGTGCTAATGGGTTTTTTCCCCCATATGCGTGTATACGTGACACACACATTTGCATTGATACCTACTGGGCCAGCTTGATGAACAGCCTGTGGCTGTGACTGTCTTTTGTTATGCACATGTAATTGCATTTAGTGGTAGCACCTGAAGATAGACTGCCAGGCGATAGGGCTAATTTTGGTCTCTGAACTCACCAAAGGGATGTCACGACGGTGCTGGAGAGCTCCTTGTTCACAGCCGCGCTTTCTGTTACTAAGGGTGGAAGAGACCTCCATAAATAACATTGCCGCTGCCGCTGTGGTTCAGGACGTTTTCAGATGGTAGGATCTCATATTTCAGGTGGTTAATAACCCTTTCCCTGCCCACATTACGGTGCTAGCTAAGTGTGCAAAAGAGATAATATGGTTAGAAAAATACTCATTTCTAGATCCCTGTTCCCATTTTTCTTTCTAATCTCTCATTCTAATGCCCAGCTTCCTCCCTGCCCTGCATTGCTGTCTGGGTGGACCTGGGTGTAGCCCCTATATTCTACCCTGTGGGAGACTCCATTCTGTGTTTGTGGAGCATCATTCAGTCTCATGCTTTATATTTTAATTTAATTTAATTTTTCTTTGAGACAAGGTCTCATTTGGTCACTCAGGCTGGAGTGCAGTGGCGTGATCATAGCTCACTGCAGCCTCAACCTCCTGGGCTCAAGCAGTCCTCCACTTCAGCCTCCCAAGTAGCTGAGACTACAGGTGTGCACCACCACGCCTGGCTAACTTTTGCATTTTTTGTAGAGACAGGGTCTTGCTGTGTTGCCCAGGCTGTTCTTGACCTCCTGGGCTCAAGCAATCTGCCCGCCTTTGCGTCCCAAAGTGCTGGGATTACAGCAGTCTCATGTTTAATTTTTCTTTAATTTCTATTTTTTAAAAATTTATTTATAAATTTTATTTTTTGTAGAGATGTGGTCTTGTTATGTTGCTTAGGGTCATCTCAAACTCCTGGCCTCAAGTGATCCTCTCGCCTGGGCCTCCCAAAGCAGTGGGATTACAGGCTGGAGTCATCACACCTGGCCTCTAAAAAAAGAGATCCAATTTTAATTTTTTTTTCCTTTTTGAGACAGAGTCTCACTCTGTTGCCCAGGCTGGAGTGCAGTGGCGTGATCTCGGCTCACTACAACCGCCGCCTCCCAGGTTCAAGTGATTCTCCTGCCTTTGCCTCCCTAGTAGCTGAGATTACAGGCGTGCACCACCATGAGCAGCTAATTGTTGTATTTTTAGTAGAGATCAGGTTTTGCCATGTTGGCCAGGCTGGTCTCAAACTGCTGACTTCAGGTGATTTACCCACTTCGGCCTCCCAAAGTGCTCCCAAAGGCATGAGCCACTGTGCTTGGCCTCCAGTTTTAATTTTCTTAATGAGCTGATTTTATAGCTGGTGACCCGGTGACTTCATGGGGGTGTGAGGTTGGTGCCCGCAGCCACAATCCTGGACTCGTAGAAGGCAGGCTTGGGTGGCGTTCCAAATGCTTCACTGCGCGCATCCAAGTGTCTGTCACCCATGAGCTTTGCAATAAGGAAGACATAAATATGCACCAGCTGGGCTCTGAGCTCCGGCTCAGCCTCCTCCCTGCTTTCAGCTTCCCACCGGGCATTGCAATCCCTGCTTCCGGCCCCGCCTGCTCTGCGGCTGGCAACACCAAGTCGCCATCTCTCTTCGTGTTTCACCTCCAGATACAGGAAAACGCGTGAACTCTGTGTTTGGAGGGAGGAGGGCCAATTACAGGAGATCCTGGGCTAAAACAGGAAGAAGAAACATGATTAAGGACTTTAAACAGGGATCACACAATCGTTCTTCTGCCTCCTTCCCTGCAGGAAGGCAGAGATCGGAGATGGAGAGCTGTCATTATCCTCCTTAATTATAGGAGAGAGCAGAAGTTCTTGGAAACACCAGCCAAGTCAGGGAGCCACTGGCAGCTGAGCTTACTTGTTCTTCCAAGATGGTGGAAGCCAGGCAGGGAAATAGCTGCGGGGAGGGTGAGCTCATTCACGGGGACCACTCAGCAGTGGAAGCGATGACGTCCCCTGGCCTCAGATGTGGAAAGTGTCTTCCAGGGGGCAGCTCGTGGAGGAGAGCCTAGCTTGTGGCTCTCTTGAGATGTTCTCCAGGTTTCTAACATGTGGCATGTGACTCCAGTGGAGAGGCCACTCTGCAGCTGCTCCTGTGGGCACAGTGACTCTGGGGGGGAGGGGGTGGGGCTGGGCTGGGCGTGTCATGGGAGGGCAGGTGTGATGACCAGGAAGCAGGGGTACCTCATGGTGTGCCCCGCAGAAATCTCTGCCCTTACTGGCTTCTTCCCTTCTCCTCCTACCCCAGGCCTTTTCTGTAATGTCACCGATTACCATCTGGTGTGGAAAGATTTGCTTTTCAGATTGGTGTGCTGAGCACAGCCGGACAGAGAGGAGGCTTTCGGGAAGGAAAGTCGCCTTCACGTCTTGCATGTTTTCACCGCTCCCCATACGGGTATTTCTAAGCAAGAATGCACACGGGCCTGAAATAGAATGCATTAGTAAGTGTAACCGAGAGGCGAAGTGTATTTTTAGCGAACATGGCTAAGGCAGATTATTACAGCGAGTGAGTGAGACCGAGCTAGGGGAGGAGGAGCTCCTGGGGTAGAGAGACGTGGCTGCCTCTCGGCTGTCCCTGGGGAGCAGAAGGACTGTGGCCAGTGGTGGCTCCTGGGATGGTCAGAGCTTCCTGGGGATTCTTTCTGGTTGTGGAGCTCCTCGTGCCCCCTGTCGTGGGGGAGGGAGTAGAAACAGGCAGCACAATGGTGGTGAAGCTTGGGCCCCAGGTTCAGTGGCGAGGTGGCCCCAGCTGCAAATGTGTCTGCTGCCACCTGCCTGTCCCAGGTGGAGGAGAGGGGAGGGCTGGTCACAGGGAGCCGGTGGGTCTGCAGGCTGCAGAGGCACTGCTCGTTGGGCCTGTAGGTGCTTTGGGAGTCCTGGAAGGGAGGGTGGGGCTTCGATTGTGACTACCAGATTGTGGCGTCTCTGCCACACCGCTCAAAACTCTAATTCAGCTTCTTTATCTGCAAACAGGAAATGTTAACGTTTTCTCGAGGAGTCATGAGTTCAAACAGGGTCACCGATAAGGGAGGGTTGGAACTTTCAGAAGAAAATTGCTAAATATGCCAAGATGTCATATTATTTTTTTCCCAGCATATTAACTAGGGCTTAAGACCTGATAGCCCTGTGAGTATGCGTCTGTCTCTTGTAGCAGCGCTGTTCGCTTAACAGAGCCAAATTCAGCCCAGAGTGAGTCTTTGGTGTCCATCCCAGGCTCTGGCTACCATGTCACCCAGACGGCCTGATTTGAAGGCAGTTTCCTTCCCAGGGACCACGGCAGAGTGCCACAAGATTAGCAGAGAGTCTCGTCTCCAGCTTGTTGACGTACGCTACAGGTCTTGGGATTTGCCAGCATCTTATAATTTTGTACAATAAATGAAGCACCCATGCAGTGCACACACACACGTACACATGCTATTAATTCTATGAGTCTTGGGACTTGCCAGTCTCTTTTTTTTTTTTTGAGACAGAGTCTCGCTCTGTCACCCAGGCTGGAGTACAGTGGCACGATCCCAGCTCACTGCAAGCTCCGCCTCCCAGGTTCTGGCCATTCTCCTGCCTCAGCCTCTGGAGTAGCTGGGACTACAGGTGCCCACCACCACACCTGGCTAATTTTTTGTATTTTTAGTAGAGATGGGGTTTCACTGTGTTAGCCAGGATGGTCTTGATCTCCTGACCTCGTGATCTGCCTGCCTCGGTCTCCCAAAGTGCTGGGACTACAGGCATGAGCCACTGCACCTGGCGGGGACTTGTCAGTCTCTTATAATTGCTTATGATAAATCATGCACCATGTACCCACGTGTGCATGTGTGCGCGTGCACACACACACACACACACACGTACAGACACTATTAGTTCTGTTTTTCTGGAGAACCCTAGTACAACTATCTGCTGAGTAAACTCCTTCTTTGTAGCCCAGCCAAAATGCCAGCTTCTCTGTTACAAGATTTTATAAAAAGGCAGCAATGAAGCAGAGCCGTGGAATTTGGGGTCTCTCTCAGTTTAATCTTTGTGTTACAGGCAGTGAGCCAGAGGCTTACAGCCCCGAGGGGCCCACTTTTAAAACATTTCATGCATTACCAGGCACTGTGGTTCATGCCTGTAGTCTCAGCTACTTGGGAGGCTGAGAAGGGAGGATCACTTGAGCCCAGGAGTTTGAGGCTGCAGTGAGCCATGATCGCACCACTACACCCCAGCGTGGGTGACAGAATGAGATCCTGTCTCTAAAAATGTAAAAATAAAAAAATTCACACATAAAACAAAACTGGGCAAAAGGAGAAATTTAGGAGCTAATTAAAAGAAAAAAAACACCTTTTATTTTAGGTTCAGGGGTACATGTGTAAGTTTGTGATATAGGTAAACTCATGTCATGGGGGTTTGTTGTACAGATTATTTCATCACCCAACTACTAAGCCTAGTAACCAATAGTGATTTCTTCTGATCCCCTTCCTCCTCCCATCCTCCACCCTGAAGGAGGCCCCGGTGTCAGCTGTCCCTCGCATTATGTTCATATGTTCTCATCATTTTAGGAGCTAAATTTTTTCATTAAAATAGGCTTCTCCTCAAGGTCTCTTTATCGGGTTTCCTCTTTTATATGGAAAATTTTGATTTATGTGAACTCTTCCAGGAATACATGGATTATTTCAAATGAACTACCCCACACTTCTTCCAGCCTCTAATTCATAAAATTGAGTGACCTTATTGATCAATTCACAAGGCTTATAATTTGATGACTTATTTCATGGACTGTCCTCTAACAGCTAACATGGACCTGGGAGTTGGCCTGTGGCAGAGACAGCCTGAGTTGATTTGTACTTTTGTTGATTTGAGTTTGATTTTATTGGGTTGACTCCAAAGTCATCCTTGAATCCTTTTCAAATCAATGCCTGCAGCGAGCTCAGCTCATCATTGCAATGCCACAGATCCCAGAAGAAAGGTGTCACGTAACTGGAATCACTTCTTGTGGATCCTACAAGGGGCTTTTGTCCTCAGAAAGATGCAGTCTGTTCTGAGGAGTCACTGGGACTGTGATTTTTCTGTCTGTTCTAACAGCAGAATGTTGGTTCTCTGTAGACCCTGAGGAGTATTCAGCAAATGTCAATATTAGCTGAAATGGGAAGTGTGGATTTGGGACAACAAATTACCTATAGCATAAAAATACCTATTTAATACATGCTTGTTAAATAGACATGGGTTCATGGCTCCTCCAGCCATGTTGAAATAAGCTTGGCATTTCAGGATCTCAACAGAGCAACTTCACTTGATGAACACAAGCCTGGGAAATACGAGGGTATTTCCTAAAGTGCCAGGAAACCTCTTTTCCAAGCTCCACTCCCTTCACAGCCATCATTCCCTCTAATTCTCCCAACCCCATTCACTCTAAGTAGAAGAGACTGCTAACAACTTGCTATTGTACTTCACAGAGTTGGAAGTCTGGGTCAAGTTTCCAGTGTTGACTGTTGAATGGGTGCAGATTTTTTTTTCTGAGGATGGAGGCCTTCCAAGCCCCCTGAAATCGCAGAGGTGGGTGCCCAAATCCCAGATGTGATGGTGGTTAACACTCAGTGCTTCCCCTGTGCACCCTGGATGAGTATAGTATGAGGAAATGACTATCTTTAGAGTGTCTTCTGCAGGGCACAAAATGAGGGGTTGATTCCATGGATCAACTCACTATGAACATAAGCAGTGACTCCAGTTAGTGCAGATGGCAGAGGAGATTTTCATGAATACAGACTGTCTCCCTCAGTGGTCCCCAACCTTTTTGGCACCAGGGACTGGTTTCATGGAAGACAAATGTTTCCGTGGACTGGGATGGGGGATGGTTTCGGGATGATTCAAGCACATGACATTTATTGTGCACTTTACTTCTGTTATTATTACATTGTAATATATAATATATAACGAGATAATTCTACAACTCACCATCATGTAGAGCCAGTGGGAGCCCTGAGCTTGTTTTCCTGTAACTAGACAGTCCCATCTGGAGGTGATGGGAGACAGTGACAGATCATCAGGCATTAGATTCTCATAAGGAGTGTGGAACCTAGATCCCTCGCGTGCGCAGTTCACAATAGGGTTCATACTCCCGTGAGAATCTAATGGCGCCGCTGATCTGACGGAGGCGGAGCTCAGGCGGTGATGCGAGGGATGGGGAGCGGCTGTAAATACAGATGAGGTTTCGCTCACTTGCCGTCCCCCTCCTGCTGTGCAGCCTTTTATTTATTTATGTATTTATTTTTTGACATGGAGTCTCGCTCTGAGGCCCAGGCTAGAGTGCAGTGGTGTGATCTCGGCTCACTGCAAGCTCCGCCTCCCAGGTTCATGCCATTCTCCTGCCTCAGTCTCCCGAGTAGCTGGGACTACTGGCGCCCGCCACCGTGCCTGGCTAATTTTTTTATATTTTTAGTAGAGACAGGGAGTTTCACTGTGTTAGCCAGGATGGTCTCGATCCCCTGACCTTGTGATCCGCCGGCCTCGGCCTCCCAAAGTGCTGAGATTACAGGCGTGAGCCACTGTGCCTGGCCTGTGCGGCCTGGTTTCTAACAGGCCACAGACTGGTATCGGTTTATGGCCCGCAGGCTGAGGACCCCTGGTGTCGAGGGCCTGAGAACATGTGCTTAGAAATGAAAAGTCAGCAGTGAGCCCCTGAAGCCAGGCAGGAGAGGAGGCTCAAGAGGGAGGGAAGGATCTCAAACATCCTGGAGAGTTGAAGAAAAATAAAGACTAAAAAGTGTCCCTTGGATTTAGTGACAGTGAAGTCATTTGTGCTTCCATAAGGATCATTTTAATCAAGCGGTAGGGAAGCAGCCCAGTGGTGTGCTGGTAAATGTTTAACAACAGGCTCTTGGGGTGGCCTTGGGAGGAGGGAGAAATACAGATGGAGCTTCGCTCGTTTTCTCCCTGCTTACTTCTGTGCAGCTCGTTCCTAACCGGAGGTTGGGGATGCCTGGTTTACACGACATAAATGAATGGGATAACTTCCACCTTTGCCTTCGTGGTAGTTATGCTGGACGAGCCCTTTCTCCCCTCTGTTTAGTCTCTTCCACCATCATTTCTGAGCTGTTATCTGCAACTCTCACAGAAGTTTGCCTGAGGTGGACTCTCTGGTGTCAGCGATTGCTTTTAGGTGAAGCTGGTTCTGCAGGGACCACGGGCTGATGTCCCTGCAGCTGCCAGACGCCCCGACACCTCCGAGTCTGCATTCCGGCATTCAGCCCGAGAGGAATGTGTTGCTGGATGTGATGTTCCCTGGCTTGAGGGAGCGTGGGGCAGGTGTGAACGGGGCAGGCACACTCACGGGTCTGGGCTCTGGATGTGTTGGTGGCTCCTTGGCTGGAGCAGGGGAGGGCAAGGGTGCCACGTGGGTGTGTCTCCAGCCACTGCTGTGGGGAAGGTTTTCCTGGGTGCAGTCTCCGAGGGCCTCTGAGTGAGAGCAACTCGCCCCCTCTACCCAGCCCTGGCCTCTGCTGTGAAGCCTTACTTGGGCCTGGGAAGTCACTTGTAGGGTCTTCCCCTCCTGCCTGAGGACATTGTTTTGAGTGGGATAAGTGTGAAACAGCGAGACTGTTCTTGGAACTGTCATTAAAGCTGGCTGCTTGCAGGGCGCTGGGACGGGGTTATTCTGCTGCCCAGGGATGTTAGGTCCTGTGGTGTGGAGGGGGAACTGGGGGACTGGCTCCCCAGCTTAATGGGAAGACAGGATAGTGATATGGGAGAAAGAGGTATTCTGACAGAGGGCGGACAGAGGAAGGGCATTGAGAAAAAGTAGCAGAACATTATTACTTTCTTAAAGTGATAGAATTAGGGCAGTCTCACTGATATTCACTCTATAACGAAAAGAAAAACCACAAAGAGGCTGGGTGCGGCGGCTCACGCCTGTAATCCCAGCACTTTGGGAGGCCGAGGTGGGCCGATCACCTGAGGTCAGTTCAAGACCAGCCTGGCCAATATGGTGAAACCTGTCTCTACTAAAAATACAAAAATTAGCCAGGTGTGGTGGCACATGCCTGTAATCGCAGCTACTCAGGAGGCTGAGGCAGGAGAATCGCTTGAACCCAGGAGGCGGAGGTTGCAATGAGCCAAAAAGAAAAAAGAAAAACCACAGAGAAATGGCAAATGTTTGCGCGTGATAGATATCCTAAATACGCTGATTTGGTGATGACATACTGTATGCACACATCAGAATATCACACATGCCCCATAAATATGTCCAACGATTAGGTATCCATAAAAAGTTATTCTTAAAATGTTAATGGAACAAAACAATTTCCAGAAATAAACTCATGTATAGGTGGGAATTTCTATGAAGGAAAATAAGGAAAATGGTTCTGTGCAGATGCTGGGGATTTGAGAAATGCTGATTTCTGTGTTTTTGCCAGAATCACCTGGCCCCATGCACACTTGGTTGTAACTGCATCACTGGAGGGTATGAGAGTATGTGTGTGTGTGTGTGTGTGTCTGCGTGCATGTGTGTGCAGGTGTTTGAAGACAGAACCTCAGGCTTTGCTAGGAAATCCCTGGGAACATTTGGCTGTGCTGTTCTGCTGTGTAACTGATGGTGATTAATTGAGTTCATTGGGCTGGATGTGGTGGTCTTCACACCAGTGACAGAGGTTGAACCAGGTGATAGTGCTTTTGCCAGAAGCACCTGTATTTATTTTATTAACCCCTTTTTATTATTAGAAAATGACTGCTGCCTCATAGTCCAGGGTCATTCAAAAAATATTTTTGGAGGTGATACAAAAATAAGGAAATGTATATATATTTTTTTGTTGTGAGGGGGTGGGTGGATGGGAATTTCCTTGTATGAAAGAAAATTCTACCAGAATAGAAGATCCTGTAAGTCAGCCCTAGGTGTCCTGTTGAGCTGCAGGCAGTGGGCAGGTTGTGCCTGCCTTTCCTCACCTATGAAGCGGTGAAACACCTCCCAGTATCGCCGAGAGGATGAACTGAAATCATGAGCATTTCCCGCAGAGTCTGGCACAGGAAGGCCGGCCGCCGATTGCTAATTGTTGATAAAGTCATTAAAAGCCCTGTAGCCACGATTCTCAGTCTCCTTCTGTTTAATGAATTTCTTTTTTTTCTTTGTTTTTGAGACAGAGTCTCACACCATCACCCAGGCTGGAGTTCAGTGGTGCCATCTCGGTCACTGCAGCCTCCATCTCCCGGGTTCAAGTGATTCTCCTGCCTCAGTCTCCCAAGTAACTGGGATTACAGGCATCACCACCACACCTGGCTAATTTTTTATTTTTAGTAGAGATGGGGTTTCACCATGTTGGCCAGGCTGGTCTCGAACTCCTGACCTCAAGTGATCTGCCCACCTCAGCCTCCCAAACTGCTGAGATCACAGGTGTGAGCCATCGTGCCTGGCCTGTTTAATGCATTTCTGACTGGAGGCTTAATTTTTTTGTTTTTTTCACAGGGTCTCTTTGAGAGGATGACAGTGGGAAGTGCCTACTGTGGCTGTTGCGGCTGCAGGCCTGGCTCCTTCCACTCTCGGGCTGCCCTTCACGGTGCCAGGTTTGTGGCAGAGCCTGAGCCGCCATCATGGTGAAATTCTGCTATTGCCGCCATGGACAGAGAAATCAAACCGTGGGGTTCTGCTTACTAGGAAACTGGAGTAACACCTCATCTCAAAAAAAAAAAAAAAAAAGAAAAGACTGGGTGCAGTGGCTCATACCTGCCATCCACTCGCATGCTTTTGGGAAGCTGATGTGGGAGGATCGCTTGAGCCCAGGAGTTTGAGACTAGCCTGGGCAATATAGTGAGACCCTGTCTCTACAAAAAATACAAAAAATTAGCTAGATGCAGTGGCACACACCTGTAATCCCAGCTACTTGGGAGGTGGAGGTGGGAGGATTGTTTGAGGCCAAGAGTTTAAGACCAGCCTGGGCAACACAGTGAGACCTCATCTCAAATGAAATAAAATGAAACTGTAGTAACAAAAATGCACGCACAGCCACTGTTTGACAGTCATGGTATCACATGGTGACACTCACCATTTAAGGGCCACAGGACCCGAGGGCAGATTCTCACCACCCCAAGGAGTCAGTTGTGGGCTCCCCACCACACCTGTATGTGTGAGCCTCCAGGCTGGTAGCTTGAGGTCCCCCGAGCTGTACACAAGAACGGCTGCTCCTTTGCTGTAGGTGACTGTCTGTCGTTACTTTCTTGGTATAGGATTGTTCATCTTTGGGACTGATTTTAAAGTCCCACTCCCTCTGTCTCTGGCTGATGGTGGATGCCCGGCTTCCCTGGCTCCGCTCCTGTGCTTCACAGGCTGTCAACCCTGGAAGGTGCAGGGTACTTTTATTCATGGATGAAACCCTTGCACACTTGCTTTCTGTACTCTTGTTGATAACAGGGCATTGTGGCATGTTTACTGAGCCAAGTAGGCAAATCTTTTCATGACACGGTTTCTAGAAACAACCCTCTGCGGTCACCAGTCTGTCCCTCAGGCTACCCCAGGACAGGTCTTGCTGGTGTGTCCTATAAGAAGTGGTGTTGTGGCTAGCGAATGATTTCTATAAGGGTTGAGGAGCGCAGACTGAAGTGTGAGACTGGGCAGGATTACCTTTGGGGTGCTCACAGGGCTCCTGGGGAGATGTGGCCAGCATCAACAGCCTTCCACCTTTCAGCGTGCTGGGGCAGGAAGGAAACTTCCATGATCGCTGAGTCCATGTTCTTAACCTTTTAATGTCTGAAACGTCAGATGGAAGCTGTGCATCTTCTCACAAGAAAATGCATGTATACACTCATGCCTGCAATTTTCTTTTCTTTTTCTTCTTTTTTTTAATTTGAGACAGAGTCTCTCTCTGTCACCCGGGCTGGAGTGCAGTGGCGCAATCTCAGCTTACTGTGACCTCCACTTCCTGGGTTCAAGCGATTCTGCTCCCTCAGCCTCTCGAGTAGCTGGGATTACAGGTGTGTGCCACCACGCCTGGCTAATTTTTGTATTTTTAGTAGGGATGGGGTTTCACTATGTTGGCCAGGCTGGTCTCGAACTCCTGACCTCTGGTGATCTGCCTGCCTCAACCTCCCAAAGTGCTGGGACTACAGGCGTGAGCCACTGTGCCCTGCCTGCATATCTGTTTTTAGTTATCTAGGTTATGTGGGGTGGGATCAAGTGGATTGCAGCTGAGCAGCCACAGGGAGGTCACAGTGGATTTCTGTTGGAAGCCTCTCCTCTCACCCGAGATTTAGAAGGACAAATGGAAAGTGCTTGTTGCTTTAAAATGTGGGGATTGCCATTGGACGGAGGTGAGGGGAAATACGCTGGTGGATGGAAGAAGATCATAGGACATTTCTGCTGGGACTTGAGACCTGGGTTAATGTAGTGAACATCTCTTGAGTGCAGTGCTGGTGGAGGGGGAAATTCTGAGCCTGCCGTGGTTCCCAAAGGAGTCATGAAAAGCCCAGCAACATTGGGTGTCTCACGTCTGATGGGTGTTGTGTCATTATTGACAAGAAAAAATCTTAGCCATTTATATTATAGTCCATCAGAGGAAGAGAAATGCTAGAAGAAGCTTAACTTTAGTTATAGAGCCAGATTATCTGTGGTGGATTATCTATGAAAAATGTTGAATCCCAAGCCAGGTTCTCTCTGTATTTTGGTACACAGCTTATTTTTAGCCATTTTTCTTTATCAAATGGTGTGTAATTAGGAAATGCATGCTAATTTTTAATATTAATGTTACACACACACGTACACACACACACATATATACTTATATTAGGAAATCATAGATAGGAAGATAAATCTGATGTCCCCAACCCTGCATTTCAGTTTAGTGCATCATAAAGCCAGATATTTTTGTGTCCATTTCCTATTTGCTTTTGCCTTGAATTTTCTTTCTTTTTTCAGTTTTTCGAGACAGAGTCTCACTTTGTTGCCCAGGCTGGAGTGCAGTGGTGTGATCTTGGCTCACTGCAACCTCTGCCTCCTGGGTTCAAGCGATTCTCCTGCCTTAGCCTCCTGAGTAGCTGGGACTACAGGCATGTGCCACCACACCTGGCTAATTTTTTTTTGTATTTTTAGTAGAGATGGGGTTTTTCCATGTTGGCCAGGCCGGTCTCAAACTCCTGACCTCAGGTGATCTGCCCACCTCGGCCTGCCAAGGTGCTTGGATTACAGGCGTGAACCACTGTGCCCAGCCTGGCCTTGAATTTTCTTGTGACTTTTCACCATGATTGGTTTGGTTGACTAAGAACTGAGTATCTCATTGTTTTGGATTTGAGATCTAGTGATACAGCTGATTCTAAACGAGATCACTGCGGTCAGAGAGGCTCAGACATGGACTTTCTTCTCATGGAAAACCTTCTTATTGAGAATTAAAAACACCGCTATCAAAATCGTTCAATTAAAAAGAAAGGTGGACTGTGAACTTCTGGGCTGTGAACTTGTGGGCTGTAAACTTAGAATCTGGTTATTCCAGGTGAATTCTGAAGCAAGCACATCTTGTCATTGTTGTGAATTTCTCAGAACAAAAATGTGTTGCCTCAGGTAAAGCCCGTACCATTTGTGCAAAAGGAAAATGGCTTCAACTTACTTTTTAAAAAAAACTTTCAGATTCAGGCGAACATCCATTTCTTCTAATGAGTGTGTGTGCAAATGACCTTGTCATAATGCAGGATATAGTGATAGCAATTGTAGTGAGTCTTTAGAATGAGCTAAATGTTATCAAGGGATGTTTCCAGTTAGTTATAACCATGATATGCCTTTTCCGATGATCTAAGACACTTCTGTTTTAATAGGTCAGTTTTTTTCCAGTTTTAAAAAATTTTAACTGAATTTTTAAATTCAAAGACTCTTTTCTCATAAATGGCACAAAACATTTAGCTCTCTAAGAAATGCAGAATCCCAGAATGGTTCATGTTTGTGTATTGCTCATTTAGCTTTCGACGTCCTTTGGAAAGTTGAGGAATAAACAGGTGGACAATTTGAAAGGATGAAAATACTCCAACAGGTTACACTAATAGAATCAGGAAGGAAGAATGTCCAACAGGAGTCATTGTTGTCTGTTGAGGATTTAGTGGGTGAAAGATTGAAAAATTGGAAATACATATTCACCTACTATTGGTAAAACTTTTTTCCTCAAATATTCCTTTATATGTATATATTTTTTTTCTTCTTGAGACAGGGTCTCACTCTGTCACTCAGGCCGGAGTGCAGTGGCACTATCTCAGCTCACTACGACTTCTACCTCCTGGGTTCAAGTGATCCTCCCACCTCAGCCTCCTGAGTAGCTGGGGCTACTTGTGTGCGCCACTGTGCCCTCTATTTTTTTGGTATTTTTTGTAGAGATGGGGTTTCACCATGTTGTCCAGGCTGGTCTTGAACTCCTGAGCTCAAGCAATCCTCCTGCCTCGGCCTCCCAAAGTGCTGGGAGTTAGCCCACCGTGCCCAGCCTATGTGTGTGTTTTCTTAAATGTTCCTGGTTCTCTAAAGGATGTAGGCAAATGCATTCTTGGTAAATTACCTTGGTTGCCAATGTCTTTATGAAGTTGGTGTTAAGTTTTTAAACCTGAGACACTTAAACTTTAATGACTATATCAGTTAGGGTCAAGATTGCCTGCAAATCATAGAACTATGACTGCACATAACTGCGGTTAAACCAGGGTAGGGGCTGTTTCTCTCTAGGGTCGTTGTGGCTCTTCATGGCGTCTGGGACCCGGGCTGTTTCTGTCTTGTTGCTCTGTCTTGTGTGGCATGATTGCATGGTCCTAAATGGGGGCCTCCACATGTCAGACAGCAGAATGGAGGAGAGGGCACAGAAGAAGGGGCCCAGAGCTGACGTCAGTGAGGAGAGGCTTCATGGGCAGTAATGTCCAAGCAAAGGTGGAACTATGGCCTCCATTCTGAGGGAGGTGGGTCTAGTCCCAAACCAGAGACCTTATGCCCTAGAAGAGGGAATAGCTGGTGAAGAACAGCTTGGAGTCTCTGTGACAATACCAAATTTTCGTTAGAAGTAAAACAGAAACAATCCATTGCTAATAGCATGTATTTATTCATTTAAATTGTATTTTTATTTTAAGTTCTGAGGTCCATGTGCAGGATGTGCAGGTTTGTTACATAGGGAAACGTGTGCCATGGTGGTTTGCTGCACCTGTCAAACCCATCACCTAGGTATGAAGCCTGGCATGCATTAGCTATTTTCCCTAATGCTCTCCTTCCCCCCACAGCCACCTCCCAACAGGCACCAGTGTGTGGTGTTTTCCTCCCTGTGTCCGTGTGTTCGCATAGTTCAGCTCCCACTTATAAGTGAGAACATGCGGTGTTTGGTTTCCTGTTACTGCGTTAGTTTGCTGAAGATAATGGCTTCCAGCTTCATGCATGTCCCTGCAAAGGACATGATCTTGCTCCTTTTTATGGCTTCATCGTATTCCATGGTGTATATGTACCACATTTTCTTTATCCAGTCTATCATTGATGGGCATTTGGGTTGATTCCATGTCTTTCGTTAACAGCATTTAAAAGCAAGTTGAGCCAGGCGTGGTGGCTCATGCCTGTAATCTCAGCACTTTGGGAGGCCGAAGCCGGAGGATCACGAGATCAAGAAATTGAGACCTTCCTGGCCACCATGGTGAAATCCCGTCTCTACTAAAAATACAAAAATTAGCCTGGTGTGGTAGTGCGTGCCTGTAGTGCCAGCTATTCAGGAGGCTGAGGCAGGAGAATCACTTGAACCTGGGAGGAGGAAGTTGCAGTGAACCGAGATCACGCCACTGCACCTCAGCCTGGTGACGGAGCAAGACTCCATCTCAAAAAAAAAAAAAAAAAAAAAAGTTGTATTTCTTTTTATGGTTGTGATGGGCTTAAATTCTATTAGGTTTAAGATTTGGTGTGTGTTCCCTTATAGCAATACCTGACATAAACTTGTTTAAAATTATGAAATGCAACTACTCCAACTCTAGCATATTTGAATTTTATGTCTGTATCCCAAATGGCTGGGCTTGAAAAGTCCAATTTTACAAAAGCCTGATTCATGAAAATTGACTAAAGCCTTGGAAGCAGCAAGAAAGTGCAAATTAGGTGATTAGATTGGAAAGTCCAGAGGCTGAGGACAGTAGATGAAGGATGTTGCAGGAAGATATTTATTTGGGTGGGATAGAGAAATGTATTAGTTCATTTTCATACTGCTATGAAGAAATACCCGAGACTAGAGAATTTATAAGAGGCTTAATGGACTCACAGTTCCACATAGCTGGGGAGGCCTCACAGTCATGGCGGAAGGTGAATGGGGAGTGAAGGCACATCTTCCATGGTAGCAGGCAAGAGAACGTGTGCACGGAAACTGCCCTGTATAAAACCATCAGATCTCATGAAATTTATTCATTATCATGAGAACAGCATGGGAAAAACCCACCCTTATGATTCAATTACCTCCCATCGGGTCCCTCCCACAACACATGGGGATTATAGGAGCTATAATTCAAGATGAGATTTGGGTGGGGACACAGCCAAACCATATCAGGAAGGGCGGGAGAAAAGAGGGAAACAGATGAAGGAAGAATGTGAGGGTGATTAGAGGCAGTGGAGACTTAGTGTTGAGTGGACCTGGGGCTCCAAACTCTCCAAACCCTGGACCTGGGGCTCCAAACAGAGGGCCTGAGCCAGATGGAAAGAGCTCATTTGTTCTGTGACTGAGATCTTAGAGTGAGCATCTGGCACCAGGAGAACAAGGGAGAAGACTTCTGGGTTATCCAGTAGACAAGGCCTTAGGCCAGGAGTAGGTGGGTGTGGCACAGAGAGAGGTATTCAGGAACTCTCTGGCTGAGATATGGCTGAATCCCATATCCACTGATGTGTTTGATTTTCAGCCTGGATAAAGGCTGGATTCTAAAGAAAAGGAGGAACACTTCAGGAAGCGTTGAGTTAGTTCTCATCACTGGATGTCATCAGGGAGGGGCTAGGCCACAGCTGCTTGAAGAGTGGAGATGAAACTGAAAAGAAACTCTGGCTTCCAGAGGGAGTTGGGTTGTGGGGAGTGACGGGGAAGCAGACCTCCAAGGTGAGAGAGGATGGCAAAGTAGCCGATCTTCAGACCTTGGGGCCCCAAGACATCATCACAGTCATTGTTGCCATGAACTCCCTACTTCTTTACATTCAAACTTGTTGGGGGTTCAATTTAGTACTTTGCAGATGAAGAGGTAATGAAGAGAAGCAATAATAATATTGCCTTGCTTTGTCTATAGAGCTGTTTCTTCCATAGAATGTCATCTAATTAAGGATTTCTGTTCATTTACACAATAGAATTTAGGTAGCAGTTTTAGCAGTGGATAAAACAAGGCGTAGATTGCAAATGCCTTCCCCTGGGTCATACCTGAAATCTACTCTCTTGGCTTGTAAATTACAGCTTTTTTTTTTTTTTTTTGCATCGATATTGAACTTAGTGCTTTAAAATCATATATGCTGTTTGCTGATTAATGAGCTAGAAGCAAGAGGAATGGAAATGAGACCAGGAAAATAAAGGCTTCCTGGGCAGTTCTTTCCTATGTGGTTTTTTTCTTACCAATCTCAGTACTCAGAGGCTGAACTGATGAGGTCACTTAGTAACCTTAGTAAGATGCAAATGGACGGTCCTGGGTCTCATTTCATTGCCAGGAGCAGATCCCTCTTTTCTCATTCTGGTAAGAATCCTGCTTTGTCTCTGCTGCCCACAATCCATATCTGCATGCATATTTCATGATTTTCTTACCTTCCAGTTCCTTCTGAAAAAAAAATCAAATGAAAAAAGAAAGATGTGTCAGAACCGAAGGCAGAAATAAACACTTTGATGTGGTTGGCCCTGAGGCATTAGGATTGATTTCCCCCCAGATCCGAATCCCTTCCAAGGAGGCTCAGTGTCTGGGAGGTGGCACACACAGGATTTTATGATAGGATTTGGCTGGAAGCACACAAAGGAAGGCTATTTTTCTGCTCTTCTTCAACACAAGTGCTTGAGAGAGAGGGATTTTCACTTTAGAGCAGACCAGGCAGTGAAGAACAAGGTCATTGGTTGGTTGTCTGCCCTTAGCTGCTTTGAGGAAAGTCTTTCACAAGAGATTGGTGGGAGTTAGCAGCCCCGTTACATAACAGGGTGTCTCTGCCAAGCAGAGTTCTGGAACCTCACCATAGCTCTGGGGGAGACTGACACTGGCCATGGTCTATTCAAGGAGAGGGAATGACAGGAAGAGGAGCCGTCCACGGATCATTTAGGACCATGACAGCACCAGGATGCTCCAAGAAGGCATAGTCTTTGGGTCTGTGGAGTATAGAAGAAAGCTGTCTGGACCACATTTGGTGGCTCATGCCTGTAATCCCAGCACTTTGGGAGGCCGAGGTGGGCAGATCACTTGAGGTCAGGAGTTCGAGACCAGCCTGGTCAACATGCTGAAACCCTGTCTCTACTAAAAATACAAAAATTAGCTGGGCGTAGTGGAGGGTGCCTGTAATCCCAGCTACTTGGGAGGCTGAGGCAAGAGAATCGCTTGAACCTGGAAGGTGGAGGTTGCAGTGAGCTGAGATTGTGCCACTGTACTCCAGCCTGGGCAATAAGAGCAAGACTCTGTTTCAAAAACACAAAACAAAAACAAAAACAAAACCCACAAAAAACGCTGTCTGACTTCTTTCTTTGTCTCCTGGGTCAGAATTAGTCACTTTGGGGACCTGTCCAGGGCTTGGCTTACCTCTTCTTAGACCTCACTGAGCCCAGAGGTCAGTGAGACATAGCATTGCCCAGGGTTAATCTGCTCTGGTGGTGTCAGGGAGCCAGCACCAGGAACCTTTCCCTGCGGGCATGGAGGGGCCTTTGCTGCCATTGCCAGGGCTGGGTGTCATGCCATTCCAGAGATTGAGAATTCTACTGGAAAAGTAAGAAGTTGAGGTATACAGTAGAAAAGATCAGATTATGAAGCCTGACCCCACCCTTTGCCTTGTGACCTTGGACGAGTTGCTGAACCTTTCTGGGCTTCAGTTTAGATAAGATTATCCAGCTAAAGAGGCTTGGGCATTCTGCCAATTTGTCCTTGAATCAACCTCCTTTTTATTAGACATGAAGTGTGGATTCTTTGCAAGGGACTTAGCAGTGAAGTACACAGGTATGTTGTACACCTCTTACTTGTTGATTAAAAATGACATGATCAAATTCTCTTGTTAGCATGAAGAAGAGGAAACTGTGCTGTTATTAACTGCCTATTGTGTGAACACTTTCGCATAGATTGCTTCAGTGCAGCCTCACAATCACCTCCTGTGGTTGGTGTTATATTTCCTCTTACAGATGAGGAAAGTGAAGCTTCCAGAGGCAACGTGCCAAAGACCTCTGGGCTAATCATGGGTATATCTGGCACCCAGATCCCTGTCCACCGGACTCCAAAATCCATCCCCTTTCCCGTACTCCACCTCGCCCTCAACTCACTCCATTCTGCTCACAAAGCAATGATGGAAAACACAGGGAAAATGGAACTTGGTAGTCCCAGCCTAAGTGGGTTGTAGCAATTTCCTGTTTATTTTAGTTTTCTTTTTCTTTTTCCTATAAATAGTGCCCTGGGGGCAGAATTTACTTAGTCTTCACATTTTTATTGAGCCCTTGTATATTCAGAGCACTGTGCACTGGCTGAAACTCACTAAGAGCTGCAGAGATTGAGAAGTTCTGATGCTAGTTTATCATCTGGTGAGGGGCGAGGGGGACTTTAGGTGTGTGGAAGCCTCTGCTTACCTGGGGCGTGAGTGCGTGTGCTCAGCGCTGTTCTGCCGGATTGCCATGTCATGGGCCTCACCATGTGCTCATTCCTGTGTTCATTCCTTTCAGGTATTTACATAGTGTCTGTTGTATGCACGGCTCTGTGCTAGGGGCTCGGAGGAAATAAAAAGAAATGAAGAATGTGGACTCTGTTCACCAGGAATTCCTGGCTTATCTGCGGAGATACGCATATTCCAGCAGTTCTCGACTGAGAGTGATTTTTTTTCCCGCCAGGGGACATTTGGTGACATCTGGAAACATTTGGGGGTTGTGTGTGCCGCTTCTAGTGTCTGTGGGCGGAGATCGAGGATGCTGTTAAACATCCCTTAATGCACAGCACAGCCTCCCCACCCTAAAGTATTATACAGCCTGAGTGTCAGGGGTGCTTGGGTTAAGAACCCTGGTATGTCTCAAGGGTGTGGTCCCCAAAAGCCATTTGATGCTTTTGGAGTGGTGTGTGCAGTTGGTGAGCAGTGCTGCTGTGACCTCCATGGAGGGGAGCTGGCGGCAGAGTGGAGTGCTCAGAGCTGCAGGCCCTAGGGAGAGTAGGGGAAGCCTGGACTGTGCTGAGCTGGGATAGAACTGAGGCAGCTGCAGGGAGGGCAGGCAGCCACCAGGGCAGGCAGCCACCAGGGCAGGCACAGGCTCAGGGTCAGGAACGAGTGTGGAGCTGGTGGCACGGTGAGGAGGACCTGTCATAGGGCGGAGGCTCTGTGCCGGGAGCAGCAGGCAGTCTGGACCGAAGGAATGAGAGACATCGCAGACCGTGGGCTGAGTGATGCTGTGATGGATGCAGAGCTTTAGGAAGGTATTCAATGGTGCTGGGCAAGATGGGGCAGAGAAAGGCCAGTCCAACGGAAGGAGAACCCAGCCAGGGAATGGAAAATCAGGCGGTGATGTACCGTGCAAGCTGGAGGGAGCATTGCCAATCCTGGCCTGTTTCTCAGGTTACCAGTGAGAAAATCAGGTGTAGGGCGATGAGGCGTCTTGGCTTGTGGGCAGCGCTGGGTTCAAGGCAGGTCCTCGGCCGCAGGACCTGGCCTCTACTGACCAGCATCCCATGGGAAACCTCAGCCTGTCCTCTCAGCAGCCCCGCAAGGCAGACACCATCATTTACCTCCACCATACAGAGGAGGGGACACACACTGTCACACACACTTCACCTGCCCCAGGCCTTGTTCTGGAAGTAGCAGTGCCAGGCTTTAGCCCGGGCCCTCGGACACCAGGATGCTTGCTCTTTAGCCATGGCCACTCTCGTTCCAGGTATAAGGCTGGTCAGCCTGCCCAGGGCTGGCAGTGGGGGCGTGGAGAGAGGGTGAAGGCAGAGCGCTGGGAAGGAGGTGTGTGTAGGACCCGGTGCCTGGCTGGGACTTGAGTCCCATGGTGTGCCTGCGACCCTGGAAGGTGTGTTACTTGCCATGCTCATTTTCTCCTTGGAGCCCATCTTCACTGCAGGGTGCAGTTCACTGCCTTTGCCAGTCCAGTGTTGCCTTCGCAATGGTGGCGTCTCCACGTTCTCCCCATTGGCACAGGCTTCATCAGTTGTGCACTGTTGCCCCTTCAGGCTGTTCGCATGCACGCGTGTATATATGCATGTGTGTGTGTGTGCATGTGTGTATACTTGTGTATACGTGTATGTATATGTGCATACATGTGCTTATGTATGCAAGCATGTACCTACGTGTGTACACATATACATGTGCACACATAGGTGAATATATGCATGTGCATGTGTGTATATGTGTATATATGTACGTGTGGGTGCATATATGTATGTGGGTAGACGTATAAGTCTGTGTGTGTTGTGTGTGTGCACTTGTGCCGCTGGGATTTTGGGAGGAGCATTTGCTCCTCGCCCCGCCTGATGTGGCCAGGTGGCTGCGTGTAGTGTATTTAAATGCGTTCAACGACATGAGTGAACGTAAAACAACTCCTGGGTACCAGGTTTACAGTTGAGAAGCAGGTCCCCTCTTGGCGTGTGTCACAGCTGTCTGGCAGCCTGGGCTACTTTTAACAAGGGAGGAGAGAGCAGGTGAGGCGAAGAGGCCAGAAGAAGGGAGAGCAGAGAGGGGGGCCTGTGAGAGAGAAGGGAGTGGGCAAGAGCGGGCTCCCAGGGAGAGGGGCGGGACGTTTGTGAGTGGAGATCTTATCACAGAAAATTCAGGTTGGGCCAGACCTAGCCAGCTGACTCCACCCTTTATGAATGAACACATTTGATGCGAGGATTAACTGCAGGGATGACTGGCTTGGGGGTTTTTCTTTTGTGATTTCTAACAAAATGATTTTCCCCCTTTTCCATGATGATTGGGCCAACCTTTCAGGGTTAGGTCCATGGGCTCCTGCAGGATAGTGTATAGGATGGAAGATCAGGTTCGAGTATTTTCCCTTGGAGTCCTGCTTTGTGCCAATGTTAAAGTTACAGTGTTAAAAAGTTCGAGTTCTTAGGCAGGGAATATACCGGACTGAGGATAGTGGGTTTTCCTTAAGGAGACTTATTTCCTCTCTGAGGGCCTCAGCTGGATTTCATGTGGAAAACAGTTCCACAGGGCACCTGCTTTCCCGCATCCACTGAGGCATGGATTTCTCTGGTAGAGACCTTGAGCATATTAACCAAAGAGTTGGATGCTTGTATTAGTCAAGCTGCTCCAGTAAACATAAACGGAACCAATAAGATGGGTGTGTGTGTGTGTGTGTGTCTGTGTGTGTGTGTGTGTGTGTGATGTATGTAATATATTCTCAAAAAGTAGATCAGAGTCTTCTAAATGTCACAAATATGTTCCAAATACACATTTTACACACACACACACACACACACACATCTAGGAGCTGGAGACCCAGGAAAGCCAGCGGTATAATTCAGTCCGACAGTCCAAGTCCGGAGGCCGGAGAACTGGGGGGATTTGGAGGGAGGTGGTGGTCATGGTGTAAGTCCCAGAGTCCAAAGACCCAAGAATCAGGAGCACCAGTGTCCGAGGTCAGGCGGCGATGGGTAGCCCCGCTGAAGAAGAGAAAGTGAAGTCGCCCACCCTTCCTCTGCCTTTTCATTCCACCCTGGTCCTCAGTAGATTAGGTGATGCCTTTCCACATCGGTGAGGGTGAACCTTCTTGACTCACTAGCAATTCAAACGGTCATCTCTTCCAGAAACAGCCTCATAGACACACCTAGAAACGATGCTTTACCAGCTTTTTGGGAACCTCTTAACCCGGTTAGGTTGACATGAAATTGACCATCATGGTGTTCAACCTAGAAAGGCTGAATTTGAGATTCCCTGGGAACGTGTCCTGTCAAGACCCTCTTTGTACCTTTAGGCTACTTTCTCTTACTACCTCCCGGGACGGTGAGGCCACTTTCTCTTACTACCTCCCGGGACGGGGCTCCTCTCAGGTTTTCCTTTGAATTCTGCAGTGCACACAGCCTCAGGTTCCATGACCCCTTCCTCTGCTTTCTTGCCCCCTATGATGCTCTCCTGAGGTGTGGGCCCGGATCTCTTGCAGGCAGGGTCTGAAGTGGTGCTGCTTAGAAACTGGAAGAACATTGGTAGCAACAAAGCAACGCTTCGAAGCACAGGCTGCCACTGACTCTCGCTTCTAACTGACAGCAGGGCAGTCAGGTACCATCATCATTTTGTTTTAGTTCTTGGCATTTTCCTCCCTGTATCGCTGTTTATGTTGGAGGTGCTCTGTGAGCATTGTTAACCCCATCCTATCCTGATAGATGCAGAAGCCGTCCGTGTGAGCAGTCTAAGAGAAAAGAGGCGTGCGGTTGTAGAGGAGCAAAGTGAAACTTGGAGGCCACGTTGGCCATGTGTGTTAAGAACAGATGGCTCCTGGGAGTCTTCAAGAATTGCACTTGTTTGTAGGTAGAGGAGCTTGTTGACCTCTTTTCTCTCAAGGATGCCAAGGAAGTGAAAATTCCTCTGCAAAACTCAGTGTTGGATAGGAATATAGAGACTATTAGGCCTGCACTATAATTTTAAAGGCAGTAAAACGGGTGTAGAAAGCCTCTCAAAGGAAGATCAAAAGCCTCCTAATGTGACCAGTGTCAGTGCTGCTTCTCACTCAGAGCCCAGGCTCTCCTTTCTGGAGGGTTCTTTCCTGGGCTGTTGGTCCATCCGGCTCCTTGCTTGGTCTACACAATGAGCTTAGATTGTGCTCATCAAAAGCAGTGTCTCTCCTTTATTGCTTGCTTGTCTGGCATATTTTCACAACAAAGAATACATAATATTGAAAGCAAATGGTCCAGCACTCGAATCTGTTTTCTGAGAATTTAATTACGCTTCTCAGAGCAGTCAGATCTCTTCTTTGTGGCTTTATTGCTGTTTGGTCTTTATTAGGGCCAGGACTTGATGCTCTAGCGTGTACCAGATGCTAAAGAAGCCAAGGAGGGCTGATTTAATAAACCAATGATTTTCAGACAGCTGTCATCTTCCTCCTCCTCCTCCTCCTCCTCCCTTGTTCCAGTCCTCCGCACATCACATGTCAATGGAAATCTACCATTTAGAATTCATTCTTTTGAATGAGAGTCATAGATAAGACGGAAGGAGAATGTAGGTTGATTCCAGGCTCCACCATGTCCTAGATGTGTGAAGATGGCAAGTCCGTTAACTTCCTGAGCCTTTATTTTCCCGTCCATGTAATGGTGTATGATGCCTGTTCAGCTTGTTTCCTGAGGTTGCTGTGAGGATCAGAGAAGATAATGGATGAGGCTGGGCATAGTGGCTCATGCCTGTAATCCCAGCACTTTGGGAGGCTGAGGTGGGAGGATCACTTGAGGCCAGGAGTTCGAGACCAGCCTGGCCAACATGGCGAAACCCCCGTCTCTACTAAAAACACAAAAACTAGCCGAGTGGGGTGCCATGTGCCTGTAATTCCAGCTACTCAGGAGGCTGAGGCTGGAGAATTGCTTGAACCTGGGAGACGGAGGTTGCAGTGAGCTGAGATTGCCTCATTGCACTCCAGCCTGAGCAACACAGTGAGACTCTGTCTCAAAAAGAAAAGATAATGAATTAGACCATTGTAGGGAAATGTAAGTTTCTCTACACACCATAAAGGAATAAAGGGAAGATCTGGGCTCTCTCTTTCTCTCTTTCTTTTTTTTTTGAGACGGGGAGTCTCGTTCTGTCGCCCAGACTCTGAAGTGCAGTGGCACGATCTCAGCTCACTGCAGTCTCCGCCTCCCGGGTTCACGCCATTCTCCTGCCTCAGCCTCACGAGTAGCTGGGACTACAGGCGTCCGCCACCACGCCCGGCTAGTTTTTTGTATTTGTAGTAGAGACGGGGTTTCACCGTGCTACCCGGGATGGTCTCGGTCTCCTGACCTCGTGATCCGCCCGCCTCAGCCTCCCAAAGTGCTGGGATTACAGGCGTGAGCCACCGCGCCCGGCCTGGGCTCTTTCATGCCCACCTAGCCCTTGGTGCCCCCGAGCCCGAGGGTAGGACCTGCCAACCTCGGGTCACATCATGTCCTTAGTTCCTAGCGTGATGCTCCATGAATGTGTGTGGAATTAATGAAAAAGGAGCAAGGAGATGGACTCTTAATATTTCCCATATAAATATAGAACTGAGAACAGTTTTCAAATTAACTGCACCAATTAATAGAGGAAATGATGTATTGGGTTGTTCGTTGGAATGCTGAGTGGCTCATTAAAAAATGTAATGACAGGCAAGGATGAATTTCTGAAAAGTTCTGAGAAGTTTGCAGCTACTGTGTGAACACCACCTGGACTTTTCTTGCAGCCTTGTTTACCTGTGACTCTTTATTCCCAGGATCATGTGCAAAATGTATCTCACAAGCTAATACACGGAGTGGAGAAACACAAAGAGGCTAAAAGAGCTCTTGAAGTCTGGGACCTAGTGGCAGTAGGTTTCTTATATAAGCTTGGATGGTGCCTGCAGGCTATAGGTTGTTGCTTAGAGGATTCTGTCCTTAGAAACAGGGAACTGGCCAGCAGCAGGGAAGCACCCTTTTTGTTTTTAATTTCTGTTAATCAGATGGGGGAGTACGTTGTGTCTAAGGGGAATTTCACCTCCTGGTTTCTTCTGCTAGAATAATTTCCCTGTAATATCAGGAAATCCTATTTTTCCTTTTTCAGGAATGACAGAGGGCGAGTGGGTGATCTAGTAGATTGATTTAGGCCCAGCAACTGTGTGCCTCTGTGTAGGTTTTTGGCTGAGGGCCGCCCGGAAGAAAGGATGCTTGTTCACATTGCACAGAGGCACTGCGGATGGGCTTGTGGTGTCCTGAGGTTTGCGTTTCTTGAAAACCACCAGCCCGGTCCCTCCCCTGTTTCTCAGCTGGGCCCTTCCTGTGGTTCCCAATTCTTTTATTTCTCTCGTGTTAATTCCTTGCCGTCTGCCTTGCATAATGCATTTGTCTTTTTCTGTCTCCAGTGGCAGGGAATTTTGATCCTTGCTTCTTTCCTGTGTCTGTGGCTGCTTCTCAGGTTTGTATTCTAGAATTCACCCCCTCTTCTCTCATCCCTCTCTTCCCCAAGCCTCTACACACTTTCCAGGCCACATTGTTCCCAGATCTCTGAATGCCCTGGGAAGCTTGTGAAATGCAGAGTCCTGGGTCCTGTCCCTGGCGCGTTGATTTGACAGGCCTGGGGTAGGACTGAGATGCTGGTGTTTTTAACGAGCATCCCGAGACACTTGGAGAAACAGCTCTAGGAAGACGATTCCCAAATCCAGATGCTGCCTGTTCTCAGGGAGAAATCCTGCTTTCCAGCTCTGTGCTATGTATGTCCTTGGCACCTCAGCTGAATCTTTCTGGAAGTAAATGCATCGCTATTCATGAAGGCCAAAAGGTGGAAACAACCCAAATTTCCGTTGACGGATGAAAGAGCAAACAAAATGTGGTCTCTCCATGCAGTGGAATATTATGCAACCTTACAAAAAAAGGAAATTCTGACCCATGCTGCTGCATGGGTGAAACCTGAGAATGCGCTAAGCGAAACAGGCCAGACACAAAAGGACAAATGTCCTATGATTCCACTTACTCAGGTACCCAGAATAGACAACTTCACAGTAGGGACAATGGTGGTTACCAGGGACTGGGGGGAAGGGAAATGGGGACTTCTTGCTCAGTGGGCACAGTTCCCATTGGGAAGATGAAAAAATTCTGGAGGTGGACGGCGGTGATGGTTGGACAACAATGTGAATGTACCTAGTGCCACTGAACTCTACAGCTGAAAATGGTAAAAATGGTAAATTTTATGTGACATATATTTTATCACAGTTTTTTAAAAAAGCAAACACATGGGTCTCCTCCCTTTCTCCCTCCCCAACTAAACTCCCCATCCTGAGGCCTCTCTGCAGTTCACATAACCCTGATAAAGCCGAGGGAGAGGGCTTGGGGGACCCACTTGACTTATTTTTTGCACTTAAGCTGAAAGTCATGAAAATGCGGTGTCCTTCTTTCCCGGACTCTCTTTAAGAAGATTAAAGGAAACCACATTCATAAGCCACAAGGACACTCCTGGAAAATTCTTTGTCCTGCTCCCCAAATCTTTTCTGCTTCCGTTTGTCCTGTTCATTGATGGAACCCCGCTGGGAAGGACTGAGGACTGGGCTGGAGTTCTGCTGGTATAAATCACCTTGGAGAGGGGATGTGGGGACAGAGTCTTGACCATTCACAGCTGATTGCATTTTGTCTTGTGCAGAGAGAGCAGTAGGTGCCCAGAGAGAGAGGTCAGGGGGGAACCTTCCTCTGGATAATTGCACGACTTTCCCTTTAGCAGCCGCCAATGGGAAGGGGCCCCAGGCAGAGGCTGTCACCTGGCTTTGCTGAGGTCTGATCTCTACCCTGCTCCAGGCTTCTAATACAGCCATTCTGTGACATGGAACCCAGCTCTTGTTTGAAAAGCCACTAGAGACCAGGTTTGGCCATACCAGTGTTTCATCATTCCACGAGCTGGTCTGGAATGCCAGCTTCCTCTTAGCTGTGAATTTGCTTGTCTGGACACAGGTGGAGTGATGCCACTCTTTTCTGCCAGAACCTTGAGGTTTTAGAATGTGACTTCTAGGACTTCTAGGCTGGGTTCAGTGGCTCACGCCTGTAACCCAAGCACTTTGGGAGGCCAAGGCAGATGGATCACTTGAGCCCAGGAGTTCAAGACCAGCCTGGGAAACATGCTGAAACCCCATTTCTACAAAAACGAAACAAAATGAGTATCCAGGTGTGGTGGTGCATGTCTGTCATCTCAGCTACTCAGGAAGCTGAGGTGGGAGGATGAATTGAGCCTGGGAGGTTGAGGCTGCAGTGAGCCATAAGGGCACCACTGCACTCCAGTCTAGGTGACAGAAGGAGACTCTGTTTCAAAAAGAATGTGACTTCTAAGTGGTTCTTGTCTGAAACCAGGCTCTAGTAAAGTCCTGCCGTTCTACATAATACATGGTAGCAATTTCTCAGTTCACCCAGGACATCATTGGTGATTGTGACTCAAAAGTAGCCACATGGAACTGGGTGAATTACATGAAGGCCTGAGTTAAACAGCCTCCTAGGCTGGGCGCCTGTTTCCTATGTGGGCTGGGATCACTGAAAATAAGATTCTGAGGTGTTACCTGCTTTTATTACTGTAGGAAGGAAAGTCAGGCTTTCAGACAGAAATCATGTAGGCAGATAAGAACCAAACTGAGCCTTCAGTATCAATGAATGTGCCCTGTGGGCCCTTAGCTCAAGATATCCACTGTTCAGTTTAAGAGGGTTTGGGGTTGCTCCCGTCTGTAATCCCAGCACTTTGGGAGGCTAAGGCAGGCGGATCATTTGAGACCAGGAGTTCAAGACCAGCCTGGCCAACATAGCAAAAACTCATCTCCACTAAAAAATACAAAAATTAGCTGGGCGTGGTGGCACATACCTGTAATCCGAGTTACTTGGGAGGCCGTGGCAGGAGAATTGCTTGAACCCAGGAGGCGGAGGTTGCAGTGAGCTGAGATTGTGCCACTGCACTCCAGCCTGGGTGACAGAGCAAGACTCCGTCTAAAAAAAAATAATAATAAAAGAGTGTAGCCACGTGGGCATTTTGAAGCCAGTTCCGAAGTTGTCTAAAGATCTTGTTTAATCATTTCCTTTTACCTACCACACAAACACTCCTTCGAACAAGCACATCTGAGAACTGAATGTATTTTCACTACTGTGGCTGCAAGCAAGTCAGGCAGAATCAGACTCTTTGCCAAGGGAACTTGTGGTCTTGCTGCCAGTGCCACCTCCGGGACCCCCCTACGAATTCAGTGCTTCCCAAGAGTCACCAATGACAGGAGATTTCATTCTGGCCACTCCTGAATGAATCACAGGAGCGGCTTCTGCAGGAAGTGGTGGGGACACAAATGTACAAGCGTGGCATTTTCTGGATTCCTGTGAATTCATTCTGTAGGGAAGACAGTGCCAATGCATGCAAATGAATGCAGATCGACAAGCCTGGAAAAGCCTTAATTCAGCAGAGCACACACAATTGATTTCTCATTTCTTCAAGGCGGTCCCTGCTCTGCTAAGAAACGGAGACTGGAGGAGGGAAAGGACTCGGCTCTGGGAGGCTGTGCAAAAGACTCAGATTCTCAAGCAGGGTGGTTTGACCTCCACTTTTCATTCTTGCAGCACTTACACGGGATGCGGAATTTTAGTTTGCATTCAGTGGCCTGCTTTGTTGTAAATATGCTCACATTTTTCTTCATTGGTATCTGCCTAGCTCCCAATTTAGTATGCTCTGGGTGACGGGGAATCTGGGTTTGGGCAATGGAACGTCTGTCTTCCTCTGCCTTTATGGATTACCATGCAGATGTGGGAGTCAGCTCAGTTACTGCTGACCTGGTAGGGCTGGAGGCCAGAGGTTTTCAACTGTGGCAGCAAATTGGAATCTCCTGGGGAACTTTAAAAATTAATATCCATGGCCAGGCACAGTAGCTTATGCCTGGAATCCCAGCACTTTGGGAGGCTGAGGCTGGACAGTCTCTTGAGCCCAGCAATTTGAGACCAGCCTGGGCAACACAGAGAGACCCTGTCTCTACAAAAAAAAATAATAAATAAACAAATTGGTCAGGTGTGGTGGTGCATGCTTGTGGCCCCAGCTACCTGGGAGGCTAAGGCAGAAGGATCGCTTGAGCCCAGGATGTTGAGGCTGTAGTGAGTGGTGATCGCTCCACCACACTCTAGCCTGGGCAGCAGAGTGAGACCCTGTCTCAAAAAACGAACAAACAAACAAAAAAACCACATATCTGGGTCCTCCTCCAATCCAGTTGGATCAGAATCTTTGGGTGATGCCCAGACATTGTTTATTTGTTTGCTTTAAATCAGTCCCTTGGGTGATTCAAATGTGCTGCAGTATGCAGAACCCATGGGCCGCCCAGAAGGATCGGCTCTCCTGGATAGACACGAGACTTTCTTTCCACTACAGTGATCATGACGATGAATGTATAACCTCTCGCCAAGCCAGCGGCATCTCCAGCAGTGGGGAGTATGTACCCGTCCTGTGAGCTTGGAGCTCCCTGGCTCCATGCCGTGAAGAAGCTGAACGAGTTCACCCACAGTGTGTTTGGACTCTCAGTTTCTTCATCTGTGCAATGGGTGTAAAGATACCTGTCTGGTGTTCCCCATAGAGTTGTTGGAAAGGTGCAAATGAAACCAGATGTGTTTGGAAAAGCAGCTGGAAATTGTAACTGGGCATTATGCTAAAGGGACCTCTGCTATACCCTAGCATATTAGAGGTGATAAAAAGCCCAGTGCCTGGTGACTTTAGCATGAGAGCACAAATAAGTATCAAAACGTGTCAGCTCATCAAAACATTTATAAAACCCCTTCCAAAAGAGGTACTGGAATAAACGGAGCTGTGCTTACACAGGACGTGGACTTTTAGGAATTCTGATTCGTTGGGGAGAAGTTAAAGCAGTAGAAAACACTACCTTACGTTGTCACTGGTTTCAGACAAACCCGGAGTCTCCATCACCAGCAAAAACCTGCTTTACTGTTTATTATTATTATTTTTTTGAGATGGAGCCCTGCTCTGTCGCCCAGGCTGGAATGCAGTGATGCAATCTCGGCTCACTGCAACCTTCGCCTCCCGGGTTCAAGCGATTCTTCTGCCTCAGCAGCTGCCCGTTGGGAGACTCGGAGCTCATTACTGAAGCATTACTAAATGTGGCATGTCTTTATTTTCATAGATAAGGCTTCACTTTGGCTTCCAGGAATTAGACTCCGTAGTGGCTACTGGGGCATCGTTTTCTGATTTCCAGGTGCCCCTTTGTAGCTGTCATCAAGCCTGGGAGTGTGGCACAGTGGATGGTCAATCTTTGTGTTTTGTTCAGCTGAGAAGAGAGATTGTGCTCATAAAAGCTCACTAAAGCTGGTACGAGTGTTTGCTTATTTCCGAGGGAAAGAAGGTTCCTGGTCCAGGTGATTTCAGGGTGTTCTGAGACTGCAACAGGGAAAGCAAGCCGACCACATGGGGCTAATATTGACAGTTCCCATAATAGATGGACCGGAGCGAGCATACTTTGTTTGACTTTGCCTCAGTTGTTTTCTTTTTCCGAGCCGAATTAACAGCACACACCTGGAGGAACACAGTGGGGATGGTGTTGTCTTTCCCTCACGAGCAGGAGAGGTTTGGATTGACTGCCCAGGCCAGCTCAGAAGAGGAAATTCTGAAAGGGGATCCGTCTTTGTCATATTCCCTGAATCAAGTGTTTCTGGCTGCAGCTGCCTAGCCAGGTGTTTTGCTGGCTTTATTGCCTGGCCTTTTATTTTTCTGCCTCTTGACCAACAAGAGGCCTTCCTGAATGTGCTCCACAAGATGTGTCAGGATGGGGAGTGAGGACACAGCCACCCTGGACGCGGGCAGCCCTGGGGAAGGCATGATGACAGGCTTTTGAGTTCTTTGGACAGGCCATAAATGAATCGTGTGGGTCTTTGGGGAGCAAAGCAACACTGTTGTAAATCTGTGGGCTTTGTCAGCCTTTCAGTGCTGAACCTGTAGTTGGTCAAGTCATACAATGTGCAGTGGGCCTATAAAGTAAGGCCTGTTATGAATATGTGAGCTTCTTGAGGGCAGAGCCTTTGACTTTATAAAAAGTACTTAATTAGGCCGGGCGTGGTGATTCATGCCTGTAATCCCAGCACTTTGGAGGCCGAGGCAGTCAGATTGCTTGAGTCCAGGAGTTCGAGACCAGCCTGGGCAACATGGTGAAACTACGTCTCTACAAAAATCCAAAAAAAGAAAAATTAAAAAATGAGCCAGGTGTGGTGGCATGCATCTGTAGCCCCAGCTACTCGGGAGGCTGAGGTGGGAGGATCACTTGAGCCCGGGAGGTGGAGGCTTCAGTGGGCCGTGATCATGCCACTATACTCCATTCTGGGTGACAGAGGGAGCCCCTGTCTAAAACAAAAGCGAAATCAAAAACGATGTGATCAGTGTTTGCTGAACTGATGGTGCATTATCCAGTGTTTAGAGTGAATTCAAAACTCAAAAGTAGGGAAAGTGCAAGTGATGGATGTGGCTGTATCTCTACATTCATCTGTGTTCACTTCAAACATTTATGCCTCTCTGTTCGCTTGACTGCAGCGGTGGGCTGTGCTGGATACCACTAGGATTATGAATGATGCCATCTGCACACAGGCATTTGTCACTGCCCCCCTAGAGAGAACAGAGTTTCCCTGACTTGCTATGATGAGGTAATGGCATAATGGATCTGAAAGTGCTTTTCAGCTGGAGTGCGGCGTGGCAGTGGTGAGATTTCATTAATGTGAATGCTCATAGCAACCAGCTGTTTTATCTCGCTGCTTCCACTATGAGGCAAGAGGGTGATGGAACACGTTATAGATTGCTAGCACACTGCTAACCCTGCACACACATATATTGCTTATAATATCACACTACTTATTATGCAAATTCGGTAGCAATGTGGGTCTCCTTTGGGCCACATTTGGAAGTGTGTGCATCAAGTAAATAAAAATTTCTAAGGTAGCACAGAGCACTTACCACCACAATGATGAAAAGAATAATGTCCCTTCAGTTCTAGCCTAGATGCTACACACTGCCCTGTGGGTTCACACTAGTGAATTTAATTAGCAAGATGACATGGTGAGATAGAGATAGGAGTGTTATTTCCTTTTTACAGATAAGGCCTAAAGTCAAGAAGTATGTGGGGCAGGCAGGATTTCAGCTCGTAGTTTGGCCTTGCCTCAAAGTCTGTATTATTGATAATTATGTTTTAGTAACAACTTAGTTCCATGGGTTCCCTGATGTAGGTTTTACAGAGTACGAAGCTAGCATAGGCTTCAGTCAAAGCTGTCTTGCAGCTTGAAAGAAGAAATGATATTATTCGCTTTCCCCACTCAATAAGAAGTGTCTAATACAATGTGTGGTACATGGCTAGTGCCGTGTATTTACTGGTATACGTTTATAGCCTTTATTTTATTTTATTGTGTTTTATTTTATTTTATTTTTGAGACCAAGTCTCACTCTGTCGCCCAGGCTGGAACGCAGTGGTATAATCTTGGCTCACTGCAGCCTCTGCCTCCTGGGTTCAAGTGATTCTCCTGCCTCAGCCTCCTGACTAGCTGGGACTACAGGTGTGCACCACCACACCTGGCTAATTTTTTTTTTTTATTTTTTATTTTTAGTAGAGACGGGGTTTCGCCATGTTGGCCAGGCTGGTCTCGAACTCCTGACCTCAGGTGATCCACCCCCCTTGGCCTCCCAAAGTGCTGGGATTACAGCATGAGCCACCACACCTGGCCTAGCCTTTCTTTTTAAAAAAAGTTTTTAAATTTATATGCAGTAAAAATGACTCTTACGGTGTGCAGTCTGAATTCTGACACAGGCATAGAATCATATTACCACCACCACAATCGGATACAGAACATTCCCATAACTTCGCCAGATTCCCCTGTGTTACTCCTTTGCAGTCCAACTATCTGTCCAGCCCGAAGCCTCGGCAGCCTTTCTCTATAGTTCGCTTTGCCTATAGTTTTCCTTTTCTTTTTTTTTTTTTTTCTTTTTTTTTTTCATTATACTTTAAGTTTTAGGGTACACGTGCACATTGTGCAGGTTAGTTACATATGTATACATGTGCCATGCTGGTGCGCTGCACCCACTAACTCGTCATCTAGCATTAGGTATATCTCCCAATGCTATCCCTCCCCCCTCCCCCGACCCCACCACAGTCCCCAGAGTGTGATATTCCCCTTCCTCTTTTTTTTTTTTGAGACAGAGTCTCGCTCTTTTTCTCAGGCCGGAGTGCAGTGGCGCGATCTTGGCTCACTGCAAGCTTCACCTCCCGGGTTCACGCCATTCTCCTGCCTCAGCCTCTCCAGTAGCTGGGACTATAAGCGCCTGCCACAGCACCCGGCTAATTTTTTTTGTATTTTTAGTAGAGATGGGATTTCACCATGTTAGCCAGGATGGTCTCGCTCTCCTGACCTTGTGATCCCCCTGCCTCGGCCTCCCAAAGCGTTGGGATTACAGGCGTGAGCCACCGTGCAGGGCCATAGTTTTCCTTTTCTAGAATGTAATACTCTTAACAGTATACAGCTTCTTTCTCTTAGCATAATTTCTTTGGAGATTCATCCATGTCGTTGCATGTATCAACAGTCTGTTCCTTTTCGTTGCTGAATGGTAAGCCATTGTATGGTGGTGAAGGGTTTGTTTCACCATTCTCAGTTGAAGGGCTTTGAGGTTCTTTCCAGTTTGTTTGTTTGTTTTTTGAGACAGAATCTTGCTCTGTCATCCAGGCTGGAGTGCAGTGGCGTCATCTTGATTTACTGCAAGCTCTGCCTCCTGGGTTCAAGCAATTCTCTGCCTCAGCCTCCTGAGTAGCTGGGATTACAGTTGTGCAGCACCACGCCTGGCTAATTTTTGTATTTTTAGTAGAGACGGGGTTTCACCATCCTGGCCAGGCTGGTCTTGAACCCCTGACCTCGTGATCTACCCACCTCAGCCTCCCAAAGTGCTGGGATTACAGGCGTGAGCCACCGCGCCCAGCCTCCAGTTTTAATGATTTTGAATATAGCTGTTACAAGCATTTGCCTATAGGTTTCTATGTGAACATATGTTTTCATTTATCTTGGGTAAATAAATAGCTAGGAGTGGGATTGCTGGGTCATATGTAAGTATTTATTGAACCTTGTCAGAAATTGCTAAACTGTTTTCCAAAGCATCTATGCCATTTTGTATTTGCACCAGCAGCGTATCATGATGCTGTTGCTCTATATTCTTGTTAGCTCTTGTTATTGTCAGTTTTTAAAACATTCTAGTCAAATTAATAGTCATGTAGTGATATCTCACTATGGTATGAATTTTCAATTCCCTAATAACTTATGAGTTTGAGCATCTTTTCATCTGCCTGTTTGCCATCTGTATATCTTTAATGGAGTGTTTGTTCAAATCATTTACCCGTGTTTAAAAACCACGTTGTTTTTCTTGTGGAATTTTGAGAGTTCTTTATAGATGTTGCCTTTCCATATAAATGTTAAGACTATCTTGTCAGTTTCTACAGCAGACTTGCTGGGATTTGAATTGGGATTGCATCGAATCTGTACATCAACTTTGGAAAAACTAATATCTTTGTAGTATTGACCTTCCAGTTCATAGACATGATCTGTCCATTTATTTTGGTTTTCTTTGATTTCTTTAATCAATGTTTTATAGTTTTCAGCATTTTATCCTGTATGTACGTTGTTATAGTAATGTTTACACCCAAGCATTTTATTTTTGCAGCTGTTGTGAATAGTATTATTTTTAAAATTTTTATTTCCAATTGTTCATTGCTCGTATATAGAAACATAGTTGGTTTTTATGTGTATGCTGTGACCTTGCCAAACTCACTTAATAGTTCTAGATGCTTTTTTTGGGTCAGTTCTTTGAGATTTTTAAAAACATAAACAATCATGTTATCTGCAAACAGAGATATATTTTATCCTTTTCAATCTGTATGCCTTGCTTTATTGTCCTCACTAGGACTTTCAGTGTGATGCTGAATAGGACATAGAAATGATGAGAGAGCAGACATCCTTCTTTGCCTTATTCTTGACCTGAACAGAAACCATTCAGGCTTTTACCCTAAAGTATGATGTTAGCTGTAGGAATTTTGTAGATCCTCTTTATCTAGTTAAGGAAGTTTGCTTTCTATTTCTAGTTTGCTGAAGTTGTTTTAAGTCATATGTGGATATTGAATATTATGAAATACTTTTTATGTGTCTGTTGAGATGTCATATGGCTTTTCTTAGTCTGTTAAAATGGTAGATTATATCGGTTGATTTTTGAATGTTGAACCCGCTTTGTATTCTTGAAATGCATATCACGTAGTTGTGGTGTATTTTTTTTTATTATATATTGCTGGATCCCATTTGGTAACAGTTTGTTAAGAAGTTTTGTGTCTGTGCTCATGGAGAATATTGGTACTATTTTATATTCCTACCAGCAGTGTATAACTTTTAATGTCTTTGTCTGATTTTGATATCAAAGGAATCCTTGACTTACAAAATGAGTTGCAAAGTATTTCCTTCTCTTCTGTTTTCTAGAAGAAATGGTGTAGAATTGGTATTATTTTTTACTTAAATTCTTGGTGCAATTCATCAGTGAAATTACTTGGACCTTCAGTTTTCTTTTTTGGAAGGACTTTAACTACAAACTCAATTTCTTTACTAGATACAGTAGTATATCCAGATTGCCTGTTTTTTCTCAAGTGGTAGTTTTTATCTACTAAAGAACTGGTCTATTTCATCTAAGCTACGCAAAGCTAAGCATTAGCAAACTGAAGCCCACAGGCCAGCCACCTCTTTTTATGAATAAAGTTTTATTGGAACACAGCCATGCCTGTTCATTTGCTTATTGTCCATGGCTACCTTTGCACTATAATGGCAGAGTGGAATAGTTATGACAGAGACCATATGACCAACAAATTTTAAATATTTGCTGCTTGCCCATTACAAAAATATTTGCTCACATCTGATTGGAGTTGTCTCATACTTGGGCTTAGGGTTGTTCATAATGTTCTTTTATTAGCCCTTTAATGTCTATAGGGTCTGTAGTGATATGTCTTTATTCATTCTTTTTTTATTTTTTATTTTTTATTTTTTTTTTTTATTGATCATTCTTGGGTGTTTCTCGCAGAGGGGGATTTGGCAGGGTCACAGGACAATAGTGGAGGGAAGGTCAGCAGATAAACAAGTGAACAAAGGTCTCTGGTTTTCCTAGGCAGAGGACCCTGCGGCCTTCCGCAGTGTTTGTGTCCCTGGGTACTTAAGATTAGGGAGTGGTGATGACTCTTAACGAGCATGCTGCCTTCAAGCATCTGTTTAACAAAGCACATCTTGCACCGCCCTTAATCCATTTAACCCTGAGTGGACACAGCACATGTTTCAGAGAGCACAGGGTTGGGGTTAAGGTCACAGATCAACAGGATCCCAAGGCAGAAGAATTTTTCTTAGTACAGAACAAAATGAAAAGTCTCCCATATCTACTTCTTTCTACACAGACCCGGCAACCATCCGATTTCTCAATTTTTTCCCCACCCTTCCCGCCTTTCTATTCCACAAAACCGCCATTGTCATCATGGCCCATCCCCAATGAGCCGCTGGGCACACCTCCCAGACGGGGTGGTGGCCGGGCAGAGGGGCTCCTCACTTCCCAGTAGGGGTGGCCGGGCAGAAGCGCCCCTCACCTCCTGGATAGGGCGGCTGGCCGGGCGGGGGGCTGACCCCCCCACCACCCTCCCGGACAGGGCGGCTGGCCAGACAGAGGGGTCCTCACTTCCCAGTAGGGGCGGCCGGGCAGAGGCGCCCCTCACCTCCTGGATAGGGCGGCTGGCCGGGCGGGGGGCTGACCCCCCCACCTCCCTCCCGGACGGGGCGACTGGCCGGGCAGAGGGGTCCTCACTTCCCAGTAGGGGCGGCCGGGCAGAGGCGCCCCTCACCTCCCGGACGGGGGGCTGACCCCCCCACCTCCCTCCCGGACGGGGCGGCTGGCCGACCCCCCCCCCCCCGCCTCCCTCCCGGACGGGGCGGCTGGCCGGGCAGGGGGCTGACCTCCCCACCTCCCTCCCGGATGGGGTGGCTGGCCAGGCGGGGGGCTGACCCCCCCACCTCCCTCCCGGACGGGGCGGCTGGCCGGGCAGAGGCGCTCCTCACTTCCCAGTAGGGGCGGCCGGGCAGAGGCGCCCCTCACCTCCCGGACAGGGCGGCTGGCCGGGCGGGGGGCTGATCCCCCCACCTCCCTTCCGGACGGGGCGGCTGGCCGGGCGGGGGGCTGACCCCCCTCCTCCCTCCCGGACGGGGCGGCTGGCCGGGCAGAGGGATCCTCACTTCCCAGTAGGGGCGGCCGGGCAGAGGCGCCCCTCACCTCCCGGACGGGGCGGCTGGCCAGGCGGGGGGCTGATCCCCCCACCTCCCTCCCGGACGGGGCGGCTGGCCGGGCAGGGGGCTGACCCCCCCTCCCCCCTCCCGGACGGGGCGGCTGGCCGGGCGGGGGGCTGACCCCCCACCTCCCTCCCGGACTGGGCGGCTGGCCGGGTGGGGGGCTGACCCCCCCACCTCCCTCCTGGACGGGGCAACTGGCCGGGCAGAGGGGCTCCTCACTTCCCAGTAGGGGCGGCCGGGCAGAGGAGCCCCTCACCTCCCGGACGGGGCGGCTGGCCGGGTGGGGGGCTGACCCCCCCCCACCTCCCTCCCGGACGGGGTGGCTGCCGGGCGGAGAGGCTCCTCACTTCCCAGATGGGGTGGCTGCCGGACGGAGGGGCTCCCCACTTCTCAGACGGGGCGGTTGCCAGGCAGAGGGTTTCCTCACTTCTCAGACGGGGTGGCCGGGCAGAGACGCTCCTCACCTCCCAGACAGGGTTGCGGCCCAGCAGAGGCGCTCCTCACATCCTAGACAGGGCGGCGGGGCAGAGGCGCTCCCCACTCAGACGATGGGCGGGTCAGGCAGAGATGCTCCTCACTTCCTAGTTGGGATGGCGGCCGGGCAGAGACGCTCCTCACTTCTTAGATGGGATGGCGGCTGGGCAGAGACGCTCCTCACTTTCCAGACTGGGCAGCCAGGCAGAGGGGCTCCTCACCTCCCAGACGATGGGCGGCCAGGCAGAGACGCTCCTCACTTCCCAGACGGGGTGGCGGCCGGGCAGAGGCTGCAATCTCGGCTCTTTGGGAGGCCAAGGCAGGCGGCTGGGAGGTGTAGGTTGTAGTGAGCTGAGATCACGCCACTGCACTCCAGCCTGGGCACCATTGAGCACTGAGTGAACGAGACTCCGTCTGCAATCCCGGCACCTCGGGAGGCCGAGGCTGGCGGATCACTCGCGGTTAGGAGCTGGAGACCAGCCCGGCCAACACAGCAAAACCCAGTCTCCACCAAAAAAAAACGAAAACCAGTCAGGCGTGGCAGCGCGCGCCTGCAATCGCAGGCACTCGGCAGGCTGAGGCAGGAGAATCAGGCAGGGAGGTTGCAGTGAGCCGAGATGGCAGCAGTACCGTCCAGCTTTGGCTCGGCATCAGAGGGAGACCGTGGAAGGAGACCGTGGGGAGAGGGAGAGGGAGGGGGAGGGGGAGGGGGAGGGGGAGAGCTTTATTCATTCTTAAGATTGGTAATTTGTGTTCTCTTTTTAAAATCAGCTTGGCTAGAGGTTTATCAGTTTTCTATATCTTTTAAAAGAGACAGCTTATAGTTTGATTGATTTGCTTTATTGTTTTTCTGTTTTCAATTTCATTGATTCCTGTTCTTATCCTTATATGTTCTTTCCTTCTGCCAAATTTGGGTTAAATTTGCTCTTCTTTTTCTAGTTTCTTGAAGTGAAATGTTATATGTTTGATTTTAGATCTTTCTTATTTCTCATATAAGCACTTAATGTCATACATTTCTCTCCAAGCTATATTCCACAAATTTTTGGTACTTTGTATTTTTATTTCAGTTAATTCAAGATGTTTTCTAACTTGCCTGTCTTTGACTTTTGGACTATTTAGAAGTGAGTTGTTTGCTTTCCACATATTTGAGAATAATCTACATAATCTGATATTGATTTCTGGCTTAAGTAAATTACAGTCAGATAACATACTTTGTGATTTTTTTTAATTTAAAGTTTGTTTTATGATAAAGTTTGATTTATATATGTAGTATATCTTGTTGAATGTTCCATGTGTGCTTAAAAAGACTTTGTGTTCTGCCATTAGTGAGTAGAGTGTAAATTAGGTAAAAACATTTAATAGTATCATGCAGGACTTCTGTATCCCCGCCAATTTTCTGTCTGCTTGTTCTATTTGTTACCAAGAAAGGGGTGTTGAAATAACCATCCAAGTATAATGTTGGATTTGTCCTATTTTTCTTTCAGTTATTGCCTCACATATTTTGAAGCCCTGTTTTTAGATAGGTACACATTTAATATTGTTACTTCTTTGTGGTGAATTTATTCTTTTATCATTATATGACAATCCTCTTTTTCATGGATGTTCTTGTTCTGAAGTTTACTTTGTTTGCTATTTATATTCATTTTTCTTTTGGTTAGTATGCATGATACTTCTTCTCCCATCCTTTTAACTGACCTTATATATATATCATTATAGGTGTTTCTTATAGATAGCATATATTTGAACTAGCTTTTGGAAATCCAGTCTAATAATCTGTATCTTTTTATTGATGTATTTGAGCCATTTACATTTACTCTAATTATTATTAGAGTAAATAGTGGGCCTACTATTTTATTATTTGCTTTGCGTTGATCTCTTCTGGTTTTTGTTCCTGTCTTCACCCTTTCCTGCCTTCTTTTGTGTTATATGATATATTTCCTTTTTTTTTCTTTTTTTTTTTTTTTATTGATCATTCTTGGGTGTTTCTCGCAGAGGGGGATTTGGCAGGGTCACAGGACAATAGTGGAGGGAAGGTCAGCAGACAAACAAGTGAACAAAGGTCTCTGGTTTTCCTAGACAGAGGACCCTGCGGCCCTCCGCAGTGTTTGTGTCCCTGGGTACTTAAGATTAGGGAGTGGTGATGACTCTTAACGAGCATGCTGCCTTCAAGCATCTTTTTAACAAAGCACATCTTGCACCGCCCTTAATCCATTTAACCCTGAGTGGACACAGCACATGTTTCAGAGAGCACAGGGTTGGGGGCAAGGTCATAGATCAACAGGATCCCAAGGCAGAAGAATCTTTCTTAGTACAGAACAAAATGAAAAGTCTCCCATGTCCACTTCTTTCCACACAGACACAGCAACCATCTGATTGCTCAATATTTTCCCCACCTTTCCCCCTTTTCTATTCCACAAAACCGCCATTGTCATCATGGCCCGTTCTCAATGAGCTGTTGGGTACACCTCCCAGACGGGGTGGTGGCCGGGCAGAGGGGCTCCTCACTTCCCAGAAGGGGCGGCCGGGCAGAGGCGCCCACCACCTCCCAGACGGGGCGGCTGGCCGGGCGGAGGCGCCCCCCACCTCCCTCCCGGACAGGGCGGCTGGCCGGGCGGGGGCTGACCCCCCACCTCCCTCCCGGACGGGGCGGCTGGCCGGGCGGGGGCTGACCCCCCACCTGCCTCCCAGACGGGGCGGCTGGCCTGGTGGGGGCTGATCCCCATCTCCCTCCCAGATGGGGTGGCTGCCGGGCGGAGACGCTCCTCACTTCCCAGACGGGGTGGCTGCCGGGCGGAGACGCTCCTCACTTCTCAGTCGGGGCGGCTGCCGGGTGGAGGGGCTCCTCACTTCTCAGACGGGGCGGCTGGGCAGAGACGCTCCTCACCTCCCAGACGGGGTCGCGGCTGGGCAGAGGCGCTCCTCACATCCCAGACGGGGCGGTGGGGCAGAGGTGCTCCCCACATTTCAGATGATGGGCGGCCGGGAAGAGGCGCTCCTCACTTCCCAGACTGGGTGGCCGGGCAGAGGGGCTCCTCACTTCTCAGACGATGGGCGGCCAGGCAGAGACGCTCCTCATTTCCCAGACAGGGTGGTGGCCGGGCAGAGGCTGCAATCTCGGCACTTTGGGAGGCCAAGGCAGGCGGCTGGGAGGTGGAGGTTGTAGCCAGCCGAGATCAGGCCACTGCACTCCAGCCTGGGCACCATTGAGCACTGAGTGAATGAGACTCCGTCTGCAATCCCGGCACCTCGGGAGGCCGAGGCTGGCGGATCACTCGCAGTTAGGAGCTGGAGACCAGCCCGGCCAACACAGCGAAACCCCGTCTCCACCAAAAAAATACGAAAACCAGTCAGGCGTGGCGGATCACGCCTGCAATCGCAGGCACTCGGCAGGCTGAGGCAGGAGAATCAGGCAGGGAGGTTGCAGTGAGCCGAGATGGCAGCAGTACAGTCCAGCTTTGGCTGGGCATCAGAGGGAGACCGTGGAAAGAGAGGGAGAGGGAGACCGTGGGGAGAGGGAGAGGGAGAGGGAGCGGGAGAGGTATATGATATATTTCATATCCAATTTAAACTTTATCTCTACTGAGTCTTTACTGACTCTTTCTTTCGTGGTGTTTATGTGTGTGTGTTTTGTAGGGATTATTTATTTATTTATTTATTTATTTTTTTGAGATGGAGTCTCGCTCTGTTGCCCAGGCTTGGCGCGATCTCGGCTCACTGCAAGCTCTGCTTCCCGGGTTCACACCATTCTCCTGCCTCAGCCTCCTGAGTAGCTGGGACTACAGGCACCCACCACCACGCCTGGCTAATTTTTTGTATATTTTAGTAGAGACAGGGTTTCACGTTGTTAGCCAGGATGGTCTTGATCTCCTGACATCGTAATTTTTTGTATTTTTTAGTAGAGACAGGGTTTCACGTTGTTAGCCAGGATGGTCTTGATCTCCTGAGATCGTAATCCGCCCATCTCAGCCTCCCAAAGTGCTGGAATTACAGGCGTGAGCCACTGCACCTGGCCAGGATTTATAATATACATACCTACCATTCACAGCCTACTTTAAGGTAGCATTTTATCACCTGAAGAAAATCTAAAAGTCCTATAACCAAATAGACTTGTTTAGTGTTTCCTCTTCATAGTTTTTATATTTATTACATCTACATACATAAAAACATCATTTTGACCAGGCGCGGTGGCGCACGCCTGTAATCCCAGTACTTTGGGAGGCTGAGGCGGGCGGATCACGAGGTCAGGAGACCGAGACCATCCTGGCTAACACGGTGAAAACCCGTCTCTACTAAAAATACAAAAAATTAGCTGAGTGTGATGGCGGGTACCTGTGGTCCCAGCTACTCAGGAGGCTGAGGCAGGAGAATGGCGTGAACCCAGGAGGCAGAGCTTGCAGTGAGCCAAGATGGCACCACTGCACTCCAGCCTGGGCGACAGAGTGAGACTCCATCTCAAAAAAAAAAAATCATTTTAATTTTTGCTTTCAACAGTCATTCTAATTATGAAGAAGTTAAGCAGAGACAAATCATTTGTCATATTTATCCAGATATTTATCATTTCTTTAGCTCTCTCTTTATTCTTAAAGTTCCAGGTTTTCTTTTGCCATCATTTTCCTTCCACCTGAAGCATTTCCTTTAGCATTTATTTTAGAGAACATTTTCTGCTGATAAAGTATTTTTTTCTGTCTCTTTTTTCCTTCACTGAGAATGTCTTTATTTCCCCTTTATTTCTAAATGGTATTTTATTGGATATAGACTTTCATTGGATAGAATTTAAAATCTTTAAGGATTTTTTTCCATTGTCTTCTGACTTCCATCATTCATGATGAGAAATTGGACTCATTCTCGTCACATTTTCCTGTAGATGGGTCATGTGTTGATTTTCTCCGGCTAGTCTCAAGATTGTTTTTCTTTATTTTTGATTTTTGGCAGTTTGATTGTTGTGTGGGTATTCTTTTCTTTGAGTTTATTTTGCTTGGGATTTGATGAACTTCTGTAATCAGTACCTAATGTCTTTCGCCATACATGGGAAGTTTTCAGCCATTCTTTCTTTCAATATTTTTTTTCTGTACCAATCTCTTTCTCTTTCTTCACTCATTGTTTGACTGCAGTGACATGAATATTAGATCTTTTGATATTGTCCCAGGTATCTTTAAGCTCTTTTCACCTATTCTCAATTTTATTATCTCTACAAGATCATTCTCTCTTCCAGTTTGAGTCATTTTGTTGTCATCTACGTTTTGTTATTTTTACTCATCTAGTGAATTTTTAAAAAAATTTCAATTATTCTGTGTTTCAAGTCTAAAATTCACATTTTTTCCAAAATTTTTACTTCTAAAAATGTCTGTCTTTTCATTCATTTCAACAGTGTTCCCACTTACTTAGGGAGCTGCTTTAAAGTTGTGTCTGATAATTCCAACATCTGAATTGTCTGGGGGTTGGCATCTATTGATTGTGTTTTAACTATTTGTTTAGTATGATGAATAATTTTGGATTATATCCTGTGTACTTTTTTGTTTTTTTGAGATAAGGTCTTGCTCTGTTGCCCAAACTGGAATGTAGTGGCGTGATCTCCGCTCAGTACAACCTCCACCTCTCAGGTTCAGGCAATTCTCTTGCCTCAACCTCCCAAGTAGCTGGGATTACAGGTGCTTGCCATCATGACTGATTTTTGTATTTTTAGTAGAGAAGGGGTTTTACCATGTTGGCCAAGCTGGTCTCAAATTCCTTCCTGACCTCCAGTGATCCGCCTGCTGTGGCCTCCCAAAGTGCTGGGATTACAGGTGTGAGCCGCCGCACCCGGCCCTATGTCCTATGTATTTTGAACATTATGTTGTGAGATTCTGAATCCTGTTAAAATCTGCTGGAAAAGGTTGAAATTTCTTTCCTTTTCTTTTCTTTAAAAAGCAGACAGCCAAGCAAATCAGGCTCAGAGGGCAAGTCTGTCCTGTCTTTTGTGAGTAGTGGTAACAGTATCAGTTAAGTTTTCAAAGCCTTTGCTATGCTGTTTGTATCTGCCCCACATACACACTTTTCAGGAGTTAGTATGGGACTTACGTGGTTCTTCAAGTTGTAGTTTAATTCTCGAAGCCATGTTTCTTTGGGTGTGTTTTACGCATGAGCATTTCCTGAGTGAGCCGGGACTTGTGCTGATGCATACACAGATTTATAGGATCTCTTTTTTTCAACTCTCTTCTCTCTGGGATTTCTTTCACACCCTTGATCTCAGGGGTGCTTTTTCCCAGGTGTCTTGTCAGAAGATGGATGTGTCTCAGAGCTTTACCCTCCCACACCACATACGTGATTTTGCTATTTTGCAGTTCTTCATAACTGGGTCTGGCCTCAGAGCAAAACAAGAGAAAAGGAAGATAAAAATAATCAGAGGCTGGGTGTGGTGGCTCAAGCCTGTAATCCCAGCACTTTGGGAGGCTGAGGTAGGTGGATCGCCTGAGCCCAGGAGTTCAAGACCAGCCTGGGCAATGTGGCGAAGCCCCATCTTTACTAAAAATACAAAAATTAGCCGGGTGTGGTGGTGCACGCCTGTAGTCCCAGCTACTTGGCAGGCTGAGGCAGGAGGATCAATTGAGCCTGGGAGGTTGAGGCTGCAGTGAGCTGTGATCATATCATTGAGCAAAACCCTATCTCAAAAAAAAAAAAAAAATCAGAACCTTGCCTCTAGTCCCAGCTACTCAGAAGGCCGAGATGGGAGGATCGACTGAACCAGGAGTTTGAGAGCAGCCTAGGCAATGTAGCAAGACCCCATTTCTCAAAAAAATAAAAAATAAATCAAATCTCCCTTACACTCTGTAGACCATAGAACCCTTTTATTCCCACTTTCTTTGGCCAGGTAGAAGGGTTATTTCTTGGGATTTTAGGGGCTTATATTGCCCAGTAGCAGTGTAACCTCATGACTGGGCTGGCCCTAGAGCAGGGCAGGTAGAAAGTAAGAGAGAAAAAAAGAAAAAAATTTCCTGGGCCCTTCCATCTGACTCTTCACTTTTAGGGACTGCTTGTCTCAGTCCTCTGGCCAGAAAAGGGGGATTTTTCTTGGAATTTTTGGTGTCTTCTTCCAGGGTGCGGTTCCTTGACTTGACTTGCTTTTTTTTTTTTTTTTTTTTTTGAGAGGGAGTGTCGCTCTGTTGCCCAGGCTGGAGTGCAGTGGTGTGATCTTGGCTCACTGCAACCTCCGCCTCCCAGGTTCAAGTGATTCTCTTGCCACAGCCTCCTGAGTAACTGGGACTATAGGCATGCGCCACCACGCCCGGCTAATTTTTTTTTGTTGTTGTTGTATTTTTAGTAGAGACAGGGTTTCACCATGTTGGTCTGGCTGGTGTTGAGGTCTCCAACTCCTGACCTCAAATGATCCGCCTGCCTCGGCTTCCCGAATTGCTGGGATTACAGGCGTGAGCCACCGCGCCCAGTTTTGACTTGCTTTTGGATCAAAGTCAAGAGATAAAGGAGGAAAAATTAATCCAGGAAACTTACCAGTGGATACTTCTTCAACTTTCGACTTCACTGTCAATCTCTCTGATACTGTTTTCTTTGCAGAACCTCAAATAGTTGGTTTTTGTATTCTGTGCAGAAATTTAACCTGTAATTAGTGGGCGGCATGGGTTAGTGGGCTTGCTTCATCTTGGCCAGTCCTGCAAGTTGTATGTCCCCTATATTTAGAACAAATAGTGGCATAATATTTTTTTGGCATTTGATTTTTAAAAACTTTTTTATTTGGCCATTAATAGCAACAACGAGTCAAATAACAGTTATCCAATTCTTACTAAGGGCCAGACACTGTTCTGAGCATTATGTTTATAGTAACCCATTTAATCATTGCAATAACCCTATTAGGTGGGTAGTGTTAGTCCCATTTTAGAGATGATGTTACCTCCTTGGAGGAATTAAGTAATTTGCCAAGGTCACATAGCTAGTTAGTCAAGGAATGATCTAGGCTGTATGGCTCAAAAGTCCACAGACATAACTACAATTATACAATAAGAAGAAGCATGTTAATGTCTTAACACTTGACTATCACATATTAGCACATGCTAGCTAGAAAATTGCCATAGGGATAAATGTACAAATCACTTTCAGAATGAAGTGCCTGGTTAGTGCCTCACATTGATCATCCTAAAGTCAGAATTATATTCATTCTGCATGTAGGAAATCTGAGAAAAGCCAGGTGACTTGCAGAAGAGGTGCCAGTAGCATTCTATAGTACAGACAAGCGTGATTTCAGTGATTGCTGCTGTCTTTTCTGGAAGGTGTGGTACATTTACAAACGTACCCACATATTCAAATATTGGAATAGTAGAATCATAGGTGCTTAGAGCTGGAAGAGACTCCCGGGGTCTAAGCCCACCTCCTGATTTTAAAAATCACACCCTCATGGGTAGGAAGGCACCTTGTCAAAGGTAAAATGATTTGTGAGTGTCAGATGTTATAGATAAGGAAACAGCTCTAGAGAGGTAAAGTGAGGAAATCCTCATCTTTTTTTTTTTTTTTTCTTTTTGGAGTCAGGGTTCCTTTCTGTCACCCCGGCTGGATTGCAGTGATATGATCATGGCTCATTGCAGCCTCAAACTCCTAGGGTCAAGCAATCCTCCTGCTTCAGCCTCCTGAGTAGCTGGGACTACAGGTGCATGCCGTTACACCTGGCTAATTTTCTTATTTTTTGTAGAGATAGTGTCTCACCTTGTTGCCCAGGCTGGTCTTGAACTCCTGGACTTGATAGTGTCTCACCTTGTTGCCCAGGCTGGTCTTGAACTCCTGGACTTGATAGTGTCTCACCTTGTTGCCCAGGCTGGTCTTGAACTCCTGGGCTCAAGCAATCCACCCGTCTTGGTCTCCCAAAGTGCTGAGATTACAGGTGTGAGCCACTGTGCTTGCTCTCTCATCTTCACCCTCATCGTCATAGCTGCATTTGTAAGGCACAGATGTCCCAAGCACCCCGCGGGGAACATCCGTGATGTTAAAATCACCCTGCAAAGTAGGTAGCATAATTCTCAGTTTTTTCATAGGAGGGAACAAATACTCAAGAGAGGGTGGACCACCTGCCCAACCAGGTTGGCACACTGGGGTCAGGGTTCATGGATTCTTCTTTACTGAGGACGTCTTACCTGTGGGTACCTGCCATATACGAATGGTATGTGTAATCACCATGGAGTGTCTCGTCCACATTGGTACACTTTTCTGGGTGCAGAGCGGCACTAGGAATAATTATACTGGGATTGTTCTGGCAAATTGGGACAAAGGGGCTACCCTCCTTATGAATCTGTATTTCTGGATTGCATGATTTATATCGACCATGAGTTTGCTTGATTTAGATGACATATGTGCTGGTGCTCATGAGCGTTTAGTAGTGGGTCTGTGAGTCTGTTTTCTAAGGTCATAGAGACGAGCCACACAGTGCCGGGTAGTCCCTTACTCCATGTACGGGGTCACACACAAATTTTGCTCGTGGTGGCTGAGCAAGAAAGTCTCTTTTAAGCAAACGTAATTTAAAAATACGAGTGCTGGGAAAAGTCGTGAAGAAAGCCCTTAAGGCAATATATATTGTAATGATTTTTTTCCAGGGCTGGATACCCATGAGCCTTTCAGGATGAATATGATTAAATCTTGGCAAGAATAGTTAAGAAGCCCTTTTTCCCCATATTACACTGAGATGAATGTGGATCTCTTGTCCTGTGCTTTGTGGAGGTAAGGCTTTGGAAATGGAAACAAATGTGAATTTTCTCTTATAAACTAATGAAAAAGACATTTAGCCAACTGGCAACCCTGTACGAAGCTTGATGATGTGCTTGTGATATACGTAAGCATACAATGTTTATTGTGATTCTAAGGGACGGAATAGTATCCCTGTTCTGTGTAAGGGGAAGCTACAGCTCTGGTGTTGGGATTTGGATCAAGGTCTGGCCGGCTCCCAAGGCCACGCATTCTTCAGCACTGCCCCCGTTGAACCCGGAGGCTGTTGGCATCAACACGGGAACACAGTGAGGCTGCTTCCTTTAGGCTGCGAGTGGGGGGCCCTAGGCAGGCTGAACTCTCAGATGGACATGAATATCTTGTTTGGGGAAAGCACAGGACTGAATTATCTCAGTGTTGTAAGCAACTGGGTCTTAGGCAAGCCATTCTTCCTTTCTGGGCCTCAGTTTCCTTTTCTGGGAAATGAGGTGGTTGAACTTGATGATCTCTGCATCATCCAGGTCTGACAGTTGGTGATCTTGCCATTCAACATGGTAGATATTCTGGTGGGAAAAGACAGCTTGGTAATTGACATGCTAATAGTTTTGGTTTGTGCAGTCTAACCAATGGAGAAGTACGAAAATCCTGTTATAGGAATGTTTTGTGGGATCTTGGAGAATTGACGGGGATTCCAGGAAGGTCTTCCCGTGGCCTCGGGGTCTGGGGAGGCAGCGGTTCCCCCTAGTTTCTGCCAAGAACTAGTTTTGCAGATTACTTTTTCAGACCCCTTCCTTTCTGTTCCATCATTAAAATTAGAGACTGAGGTAATCAGAAGTTGAGATTAGGCTGGGTGTGGTGGCTCACGCCTGTAATCCCAGCACTTTGGGAGGCTGACGTTGGAGAATTACTTGAGGTCAGGAGTTCGAGACCAGCCTGGCCAACATGGTGAAACCCTGTCTCTACTAAAAATACAAAAATTAGCCGAGTGTGATGGCGGGCGCCTGTAATCCCAGCTACTCAGGAGGCTGAGGCAGGAGAATTGTTTGAACTCTGGGAGGTGAAGGTTGCAGTGAGCCAAGATTGTGCCACTGCACTCTAGCCTGGAAGACAGGGTGAGACTCTGCTTAAAAAAAAAAAAAAAAGTTGAGATTGTCCAGGATAAGACAATTAATTTGAACACAGGCTTCAAGGACCCTACATGTGAGGCTTCTCCTGTGGAAAATAAACCAGGCAGCATATGCCTTCACAGAGTTTTTATTCACATCAGTATTCTTGCTTTGAGTTTTCATGGAGAGACCATCGCAGTTTGATGATGATATGCTGATAACTTGTTTGTCTTCAGAAATACGTAGTATATATTAAGGACCTAGTTAGGCACACAGCAAGGCTGGCTCCAAGAGGCTTCCCAGAGTGCATTCATCCCCCTTCTGCCCTGTCCTGAGATGAGATAATGGTTGCCAGGGGCACGTGGAAATTACCAACGTCAGAAGGTTCTAGTGCCTGGACCTTACTGTGTGCATCATATTTGCTTAAACATACTGTCTGTGAACAAAGTCCAATTATTTGGAACCAAGTTACTGATGATAAACATAATGATTACAGCGTGTACCATCATGAACTGCCACGGAGCAGGAGAGACTCCAGGGAATCATCACAGTGGAACGGATCCAAACCACGCCTCCCATTTTGCACAGAAAGAGCGTGGGATGGTGCTCACTCCTTCGAGGCCTAACTTGCGTGCTCCAATGAGAAGTACAAAATGCAGACTAATTATAACTGAGGAATAAGACTTAAAACTGCTGTCCCCTGACATCGCCCGGCCTGTCTCTGTTTTCTAAGCAATAATGTTCTCATCATGTTCTCTCTGGGTTGGTCACAAACTGAAAAATTGCTTTTGCTGGTCTTCCTACCTGGGTGGTTGGTACAGCAAATAACTGCTAAATGATGAGGCTAGGGAATTGACAGTAAAGTCAAAGGAGATTTTCTGTCTCTAATTACAAAGATTTATAATCTAGGAATCAGAGAATTCTCTCATAGTAAATTTCTAACAGGTCCCTTACCCGGCTCTTCCCAATAAAGGCTTATTAGAAATACTGCACAGGGGAGAGCTTTGGCCAGCCCAGCCCATCATTTCCAGTTGACAGCCCTCTCCCTGGGCAGGTTATTGAGCAATTAAATCATTCCTATAACAGAAAAATCTTATTTTTTTATTTGTAATTAGAAAAATTTATAATTGGAAACTATAATTTACAATGTATAATTTTCTTAATTTGGTACTTTGTCTCCATTCCTTTATTCAAAAGATACATATTGACCACTTGGCCACAAGAGTCCTGTTTATCTTTTTATTTTCTTTTTTTTTTTTTTGAGACGGAGTCTCGCTCTGTCGCCCAGGCTGGAGTGCAGTGGCGGGATCTCGGCTCACTGCAAGCTCCGCCTCCTGGGTTCACGCCATTCTCCTGCCTCAGCCTCCCAAGTAGCTGGGACTACAGGCGCCCGCCACTACGCCTGGCTAATTTTTTGTATTTTTAGTAGAGACGGGGTTTCACCGTTTTAGCCGGGATGGTCTCGATCTCCTGACCTCGTGATCCGTCCGCCTCGGCCTCCCAAAGTGCTGGGATTACAGGCGTGAGCCACCGTGCCCGGCCTATCTTTTTATTTTCAAGATTGACCTTTCTGGAAATCAGTGTATCAAAGAGATATTTGCATTCCTGTGTTAGTTGCAGCACTGTTTGCAGTAGCCAAGATTTGGAAGTAACTTAAGTGTCTATCAGTAGATGGATGGATAACGAAAACCTGGTACCTATACACAATGGAGTACTATTCAGCCATAAAAAGAATACGATCCTGTCATTTTCAACAACATGGATGGAACTGGAGATCATCGTGTTAAGTGAAATAAGCCAGGCACAGAAAGACAAACATCGCATGTTCTCACCTATTTGTGGGATCTAAAAAGCAAAACAGTCGAACTCACGGAGATAGAGAGTAGAAGAATGGCTTCTAGAGACTGCGAAAGGTTGGGGAGGGGGGTGGGTAGGAAGTGGGGATGGTTAATTGGTACAAAAAATAGAATAAGACTGTTTGATAGCACCACAGGGTGACTATAAGTCAATAATAATTGTACATTTTAAAATAAAAGACTATAATTGCATTGTTTGTAACACAAAGGATAATTGCTTGAGGGGATGGGTACCCCATTCTCCATGATGGGATTATTACGCATTGCATGCTGTATCAAAACATCTCATTTACCCCATAAATATATACACCTACTGTGTACCCACAAAAATTAAAACAGTGTTAAAAGACTGCCCTTTCTGACGGCACCACTTTGTTTATTGGCAGTGGTTGGTGTTTCTCTGCACTGAATCATCTTTCCCTTGCATTGTTTATCTGGCTGTGAGATTATTTGAATGGAAGGAAGTGGCTCATAAGTCACTCCAAGTACCATCTCCTGGTTATCATTCCATAAAGTGATTCTGTCCTCCTTTGCAGACTGACCCAATCATGAGTTTATCCTTTTAAAGGATAATTTTCCTGCCATAAACTTCCGATCTGTTTGCTTTCCAGTCACAGTGTAGATACTATTTCTGCTTTACGGAAAGTGTTAGGTATTAAGCTTTTGTCCCTTTTGAGTCTTTAGTGCCATTATTATAATGGCTCTGTGTTATCATGATCCACCCTGCCTCCCTCTACTCTTGAAAATGACGCAGGCCCTCCAGTCTACCCAGGTCACTTTATTACTAAAGAGGGAAAATTGGCTGATAGTAACAGAAAAATTGGTAGGAACAGTTAGTGTTCTGACATGGCATAAATAGATTGTGGGTTTATTATCATCTCATGTAAAATAATTTTAAAAATAGGGTCTGCAAGGCTAGTATGGTGGCTCTGTAAAGATACAAGAAACCCTAGGTTCTTTCTGTTTATTTCTGTTCCATCACCATTAGAAAGAAACGTCATCCTCAAGGTCACAAGCTGATTGCTGGAGATCCAGCCATCACATTCTTATTCCAGGACGTCTCCTGGGCAAGGGACAAAAGAATCTGCCTGATAGCTGAATCAACCCCTTTGCAAGAGTTCTTCTGCAAGCTTCACGGGATAAGTTGCCTGGAGTGTCATTGGCTACCTCCAGCTGAAAGGGAATTTTGGGGACTGTACTTTTGTAATTTGGTGCAACAGGCCAATGTTAGCTCTTGTAACAAACAAACCTCCACATCTATCTATCTATCTATCTGTCTATCTATCTATCTATCTGTCTATCTATCTATCTGTCTATCAGTCAATCAATGTATCAATCATGGAGTCTCGCTCTGTCACCCAGGTTGGAGTGCAGTGGCGCAATCTCGGCTCACTGCAACCTCCGCCTCCCAGGTTCAAGTGATTCTCCTGCCTCAGCCTCCCCAGTAGCTGGGATTATAGGCACCCACCACCAGACCCAGCTAATTTTCTTTTAGACGGAGTCTTGCTCTGTCGCCCAGGCTGGAGTGCAGTGGCACGATCTCGGCTCACTGCTACCTCCACCTCCTGGGTTCAAGCAATTCTCCTGTCTCAGCCTCCTGAGTAGCTGGAATTACATGCATGTGCCACCACGCCCAGCTAATTTTTGTATTTTTAGTAGAGATGGGCTTTCACCATGCTGGCCAGACTGGTCTCGAACTCTTGACCTCAGTGATCTGCCCACCTCGGCCTCCCAAAGTGCTGAGATTACAGACATGAGCCACAGCGCCTGGCCAAACCTCCACATTTTAATAGCTTAACAAAATAAGCCATTATTTTTCTCTCGTCAGGGATCAGTGCGAATGTTGCTGGTTGGCAGTAGGTCTTCCATATGGGGACTGAGACCTGAGCTCCTTGTATCTTGTGGACTGTCCTCCTCCAGAACCTTGGAGTCCTCTGCATTTAGCAAGCAGGCGGTGAACTAGAATGGCGAGTCATGTGTGAGAGGTGTTTGTGGGCCAGCCTGGAAGTGCCCATGTCATTCATTTAGGCTTCATTGGCAGAGCCCAGTCTTGTGGCCACAGATAACTGCAAGGTTGGGAACTAGAGTCTAGCTCTGTGCCTGGGAAGAGAAGGAAACAGGTTTGGTGAGCAGCTAGCCGCTGGCCACATTGCTGCCCTGGTGACGTCAGGGTCCTGTTAGCTGGAAAGATGTTAAGATAAGCTGAGACACAGGAAGTGAGGCACAGTCCCTGCTACAGCCCATCGTATGCGCCTGCTTGCTTTTCCCGTGGGGACTCTGCCTGCTCTCAGTTGCCCACCCACCGCAGGGTCCTTTGCACATCTGTGCGCAGCCAGGCCAGGCCCTGTCTCTCCCAGCTCTGTCTGCTAACGCCAGCTGTGGCTCCAACTTCTTAGGATACCACCAAATTTCACTCTCTGTTCTGAAGTGACTTGTTTTTATTTGTTCAGTGTTTTCTGGGTCTTGTTCCCCCTGCCCCCACCAAAGTGTATGAGAACAGGGACTTTATTCCCTTCTTCCATTGTCATTAGTGGTTAACTCTACCCCATTAAGTGGTGTGTTCTCCTCATGAGAATGGCCAATAAGTCCTCCATGAAGTCAGCTCCAAGAAATAATGGAGCCAGGAGTTAAGTAAAGTTATTAAAACTGTCTGGCCAGCATCCAGAAGCCATTCCTAGGACCCCTGGGCCTCTTTAGTTAGGTTCTAACAGTGTTGGTCCTGTACTCTGCAAACATGGACAGGTTTACTCTGAAAATTCCCACTCCTGAAAGATTACTCAAATGTGGCTACTTCATGAAGGTTTGGTGCTTGATTTTGGCTGGCAGAGTTGAGTTCTCTTGCCTCTGAGTTCTTGTAATGTTTTGTGAATAGTTTTGTGGTAGGGTCTGTTGCCTCATCCATGCAGTTACTGTTTACCCACCACACTAAGAAGCAAGTGTAGAATTTCCATCTTCTCATTGAATCTTTTCATAACCCCATGGAGTTGTGGTGTGTTATCTGTGGTAACACCACAGATGAGGACACAGGCTCAGAGGGGATAAGTACCTTTCCCTGGGCTTAACAGTGTGGCTGTTAACTGCTGTGCTGGGATGCTGTATGTAAACCTGGACTTTGCATAGGGAGCTGGGACCTAGGGTCTCCTTCCATATGTGTCCTCCCAACTGTGCAGTTTCCTGAAGGCACCTTTATCTTTTATGCCTTTGGTTAATTTTTTGAAAATCATGAAAGATTTCAAATTTACCCAAAAGTGTAGAAAAATAAGTGAACAGATTACCATGTACCCACCACCCAGACTGAGCAAATGTTAATTAACATTTTGCCATCTTTGCTTCAGAGTTCTGAAAAAAAAAAAGTTATGGATCTAGCCATACTTCATGTCTTTATTTTATTTTATTTTATTTTTGAGACGGAGGCTCACTCTGTCTCCAAGGCTGGAGTGCAGTGGCGTGATCTTGGCTCACTGCAGCCTCCGCCTCCCAGGTTCAAGCCATTCTCCTACCTTAGCCTCCAGAGTAGCTGGGATTACAGGTGCACACCACCACACCTAGATAATTTTTGTATTTTTAGTAGAGATGGGGTTTCTCCATGTTGGCCAGGCTGGCCTCGCTCTCCTGAGCTCAGGTGATCCACACGTCTCGGCCTCCCACAGTGCTGGGATTACAAGTGTGAGCCACCGCACTGCACCTGGCCTTCAAGCCATTGCACCTCCTCTTTCCTCTCCAGAGGCAACCTTTACTCGAAGAGGGGGGTGTATCCTAATGGTGTGTCTTTGTACTTTCACTACCTATGTATGTATTATATACCCAAACAATGTAGCGGTTAGTGTTGGTGTGGCTGTTTGTGTTTTACAGATTGATATAAACGGAAGAAATACTGTATCTTTTGGTAACCTTTTTTTCAATTGTAATTATGTTTTCCAGGTTTATCCCTGTTAATGCATGTAGATCTCATCAGTTAGTTAAACTGCTACAGAGTATTCTGCTGAATGACGGACTATCTAAGCTTACTTTCCTCATTTGGGATATTTACATATGGGATATTTACATCCCTCTAGATACGTTGTGATATTTATATTCCTCTAGATAAATTCTTTTCTGTAGCCATATGACATTCCATGGTACAGATGTACCATTAAACTTTTACTAGGAATCTCTGTTGTTTTTGTGGGTTTTCACTTTTTCTTCTTCTTTTTTTTTGAGATGGTGTCTCCCTCTGTTGCCCAGGCTGGAGTGCAGTGGTGTGATCTCAGCTCACTGCAACCTCCACCTCCTGGGATCAAGTGATTCTCCTTCCTCAACCTCCCAAGTAGCTGGGATTACACATGTGTACCACTGTGCCCGGCTAATTTTTGTCTTTTTAGTAGAGACAGGGTTTTGCCATGTTGGCAAGGCTGGTCTCGAACTCCTGACCTCAAGTGATCCGCCTGCCTTGACCTCCCAAAGTGGTAGGATTGCAGAAGTGAACCACCGCACCCAGCCTAATGCTTTTATTTTTATAGAATAGAGTTCTTAAAATGTAATTTAACAGGTATAGCCAGATTAGTTTCCCAAAATGTTGTAGCAATTTATACTTAGCAACTCTCCCACATAACTTTACCTTTTCCCAACCTGCTGAGAAAAAGCCTGCCTTGCTGAGGTTTTGTTTAGCATTTTTGCGACTGCTAGTGAGTGTTGAGCATCAGTTAATATGCTCGTTGGCCATTCTGTGAATTGTATGTCTGTATCCTTCCCCGCATCTGCAGGCCCGGACTGTCTCTGCTGGGCATGATTTCTGTGCACAGTGAGTGCCCCTGGAATTGTGCACATGGCTGTGTTAGTGGGAAGCCCTTGGCATAACAGGGCTATTATCTCTTTATTAATATTGTATTAGTAGGACTTGAATATTTTCCCCTTTCCGCTGAGACTTTTGGATTTTGCATTTTGCTTAAGAAGATTAACCTATGTATATCTTCTAATTCTTTTCCCCTAAAATGTTCCAACATTTTCATTGTATTTTTTTAATTTAGAAATTTAATCAACCTGAATTCTTCAAGGAACCCAGATTATCTTTCTATGTAATTAAGCACGGCCAAGGCATTGGAACTCACTGACTGAATATCACTTGCTGGATGCCGTATCAAATGCTAGGCCGAAGAACAATGACACGACTTGTGTTCCATCTTTTCCTTTTTAAAATGTACTCTCTGATCTTTCCTGTTCTGCGCACTGTGAGGCCCGTGGAAAGGGGAAGGCACCGTCAGCCACTAGCTGGGAACATACAGGGAAAATAGACCCGCTTAGTTTAGATTATGCTGGACTTGGTATTTTTGTTTCAAAATCCAGTAAAGAAACATGGTCCGTATCATTGCCTGTGACATTTACCCTCAGGAAAGATGCCAGCACTGAAGCATCCTGGTGGCTGACAGGTGATCTCTTTAGCTCTGTGACCCTCGCGTTTATAAGAGGTGAGACATGGTGATTTGTTCCTGCAGGTGAAGGGAAGGGAACAGTGACTGGAGAAAGGGAGGTCATTTTGCTGCTGCTTGTGAGATGTATCTGATTGAACGGTGAAAATGATCTGTGTATCCAGTTTTTATGTTTAAGCAGACTTTTCAGAAGCACTGAATTGTATGGCACGTGGGACAGTGTTAAATCATGCTAGTATTACATTTTTGTGTGTATGGTTTAGATACATTTCCAGAACGTATTGCTGACATACGCATTGTCTTGCGATGATGAGGATGGAGTGCCAGTTCCAGGAAGGGCCCGAGGAGGTGCAGGCCAGTTGCTAGGCGTCCAGCAGACTAGTGATTAGATGCAGAAGAGCATTATTATTCTCCATCCAGCCAGTACTGTGCAGAAAACAAACACACAGACCGTGCATGCTTAAGGCTTTCCCCACTTGGTGGGGTCCCAGGGCAGGTCAGGAGCTCTCCCTCGCAGCTTTTATCTGAAGTGGTGGGGGAGGGGGGCAGTGGAACTCATGTCCATATTGCAGGTGGCAAAACTGAGGCAAAAAAAAAAAAAAAAAAAGAGAAAGGAAGAGTGTAGGCAGCCTCATGGGAGAATCGAGACAAGAGCAACAGGCCTTGTCTCAAACAAGACAGGTGGTCTCAAACTCCTGTCCTCAAGCAATCCTCCTGCCTTGGTCTCCCAAAGTGCTGGGATTACAGGCATGAGCCACCACGCCTGGCCTCCGTCGTATTTTTAGATTGTAACTTACTTAACCAGTCCTCCATTAATGGATATTTAGGATTTTTCCAGTGTTCTGCTATTTCAAACTTTTATTGATTGTTTTAAGCCAGAATATTGATTTTTTTTTAACACAGACACAGCCAAACGTCCCTTTAATGTAGTAATTGTTTTACCTATAAGGACTCTGTTTTTTTATGGAATAGCTTGAAGCATACTTAAAGAGTGTATTGATGTGTGTTTAGTTAGCTGGGAGCTTAACAGAATTTTCCTTTAAGGTACTTGTTGAGACATCTGCCCTGAATGAGAATGGAAATAAGCTCAAAAGAGTGCCTAAAGTCAGAGGATCTGGTGAGTGGGAATGGCCAGATGAGGGATGGCCAGTTGGGATTAATCATGAACATTCTGTCCCGTCGTTGCTTCACCATTCAGGTTTTGCCAACCATGTGACAATGGAGCTATGCGGCTGGCATTGGGAGCATGTTGGATGTTTGTAGCAGTCAGAGAGCAGAACATGAGCATCTGCTAGGTCTGGTTCCCCCACCATCAGGGATGGGAGTGAGAAAGGGGAGTTCCCCTCTGAAGAGCCACCCCTGCAGGGAGAAATCTGTCTCCAACAGGAGATCTGGGAAGACCATAGTGAGAAGTGCTGTCGAAGAGGTCCGCACAGGTGATGAACAAAGGGGGTATCCTGGGGGTTGCAGTTTCATCCACGTCAGTACCTTTGTCATCCAAGGAAAATGCACCCTGGCAACAAATGCATGCATGGCCCACATGGACACTTTATTTGCCCTGGAGTGTTGCCAGCTTTTTAAGCTGTAGCTATGAGGAGATTTTGTAATCTCAAAAAGAGGTGAATTTTTTTAAGAGACAGGGTCTCACTCTGTCACACTGTAGGCTGGAGTGCAATGGTGATCATAGCTCATTGTAACTTTGAACTCCTGGGCTCAGGCGATCCACTCACCTCAGCCTCCCAAGTAAGTAGGACTACAGGTGTGTGCAACTACACCTAGCTAATTTTTTCTTTTTTCTTTTCTTTTTTTTTTGGAGAGTTGGGGGTCTTGCTCTGTTATCCAGGCTGGTCTCCAACTCCTGGCCTCAAGTGATCCTCCTGCCTTGGCCTCTCAAACTGTTGGGATTACAGGCGTGAGCCACTATGCCTGGCTTGAATATTTTATTCTGCCTCTGCCTTCAAAAACCAGGCTTCCATGGATGCTCCCTGTTGGTATAAGAAAAAAAAATGATTGACTCACTTTGGTTCCATATCAACCTTTAACAAATGGCATGAAAAGAGCAGAGATAAAATGTGGGAGCCTGTCAGAGAAGTGAAGGAGGAAAGGAAGGAGTGCTATTAAACAAAGCGTGTGTTTTAGAGTGTGGCAGTAGGCACTCATGTGGAATTTATTTGTCTTCTGCGTTTGGATCAGTGAGGCTGTTAACAGTAAAGACTTAGTGCCGCAGAAACACCTGCAGAAACCAAAGATATCACAAGCAATAATTGTGTCAGCATTTTGATGCCTTCTCCCTGTGACAAGTATTGTCATAACCTAGACCTGCCCTGGTGGTTTCAGACATAGGATTGTACTCAGAATGAAAACTGATCTGGACAGAAATTAAGCTAATCGTGTGGGTATTTAAGAATGTCTCATCATGGTTCTTGAAGCTATTATGCAGGATTGCTTATCATTGTGGAATTCACCAGTTAAAGAGGAAGATGAGAACGTTTCAGTAAGAAAGCGTAACTATTTTGAAGGATCTGTCTGTTCCTAAGCATCTACCTACTAAAGTTAAGGATATGTTTCTAATTTGAACTGGTTGGTCGGGCACTGGTCCCAGTTAATGAGAACCTGAGTTATAGGTTTTTTTTTTTTTTTTTAAGAAAAAGAATTTCGATACTTTTAGCTTAAGCGTTAGCATAAACAAATGTATGGCTTACTGTGTAATTGTCAGGTGGAGGGCTTTAAAAGACACATTTTAATGAATAGACATTGTATCTAAATTGGATATCCATTTTCTTGGATTCATATTTGTTCTTCAAGCCTGTGAAAGCAAGTCTTTTTGCTGTGTTTGCTTGGCAGAACTTTATTTTCCAGATTGGGCCTGGCTTTTCTTCGGTCAGTGTGCTGAATTAGCACTACAAAATGTCATTAGTGGTGTGTGATTTAGTGAAGATTTTTAGCTGAAGATTCTATCAGAAGGAGTTAATGTCAGTTCTAAAATTGCCAAGTTTCTGCCTGGAGAGTTGCGTACACATTGAACATTGAGACCATTGACTTCACTACTGGTTTTTTGTTTTTCTTTCTTTTCTTTTTTTGTTTAAGATGGAGTCTTGCTCTGTGACCCAGGCTGGAGTGCAGTGACGTGATCTCAGCTCACTGCAACCTCCGCTGCCTGGGTTCAAGCAGTTCTCCTGCCTCAGCCTCCTGAGTAGCTGGGATTACAGGCGTGTGCCACCACGCCTGGCTAATTTTTCTATTTTTAGAGACAGGGTTTCACCATGTTGGTCAGGCTGGTCTCGAACTCCTGAGCTTGTGATTCACCCGCCTTGGCCCCCCAAAAGTGCTGGGATTACAGGCGTGAGCCACTGCGCCCAGCTGACTTCACTACTGTTATGGTCCATTCGGATTCTCTGGGGTCTGTAAGGGTTGGAGTTAGCAAACAGGTTTTTCTGTTTGAAGAATTGATTCTGATCTGGAACAATAGGTCTAAAAGGCACCTGTCTGTTTCCTAGACGGTCTCAAGCCAAGTACCACTGACTTCACTTTTTGCTGTGTTTTATCTTCCTTCCTTCCTTCCTTCCTTCCTTCCTTCCTTCCTTCCTTCCTTTTTTTTTTTCAGGTCTCTCTTTGTCACCCTGGCTGGAGTGCAGCGGTGCAATCACAGCTTACTGCAGCCTCAGCCACCCAGCCCAAGTGATCCTCCCACCTCAGCTTCGTGAGTAGCTGGGACAATAGGCATGCACCACCATGGCAGGATAATTTTTGAATTTTTTTCTGGTAGAGATGGGGTTTTACCTTTTTGGCCAGGCTGGTCTGGAACTCCTGGTCTTAAGTGATCCTCCTGCCTTGGCCTCCCAAAGTGCTGGGATTACAGGCATGAGCCATGGAACCCCAGCTTTTCAGTGTTTTAAAACCAGCCTTTAATATTGTGCTGACGTGACACTGGGGAAAATAATATGCTTAGTAGAAAAGAACATTTTAATTTATGGTCGGAGGCTGGGGGGTAACGTCTGCAGGCCCAGTTACACAGTCTGGTAAGGGCAATAGGCTGGAAGCGATGCTGTTAATAAAGTTAATAACACCATCAGTCTGATTTGTATGTAGAATGACTAAAAAGCATAGAAAGGCAAAGAGCCAATAATAGCTACACTAAGCTAATAGGGCAGGTCATTTCAGCACCATCTGATTATTTCTTGGTCTAATTTGGGATGGATATAATTTCACCGAGTGGTTGGTTTAGTGAACTGTCATGAATCAAAAAGACAGCTCCCAAATCCCTGATTCTTGTTAAAAGTCAGAGGAGTCCTCTTGAGGTTTCATCAGTTCCATTCGACTAAGAGTTTTGGAGCACCTAAAATATGCAAGTCACAGCACATTGTTCAGAGGCTACATTTTTGACCATTTTGTGATTAAATTGCTCTTGTATGAGAAAAGAATTTATTTTAAATTGATGTGCACTTATTTATTTATTTATTTTTGAGACCGAGTCTCGCTCTGTCGCCCAGGCTGGAGTGCAGCAGTGTGAACTCAGCTCGCTGCAACAACCTCCGCCTCCCGGGTTTGAGCAATTCTCCTGCCTCAGCCTCCCAAGTAGCTGGGATTACAGGCATGCGCCACCATGCCCGGCTCATTTTTGTATTTTAGGTAGAGATGGGGTTTCATCATGTTGGCCAGACCGCTCTTGAACTCCTGACCTCAGGTGATTCCCCACTCCTCGGCCACCCAAAGTGTTGGGATTACAGGCGTGAGCCACCATTCCTGGCTATTATTATTATTTCTTTTTGAGATGGAGTCTTGCTCTGTCACCCAGGCTGGAGTGCAGTGGCACGATCTTGGCTCACTGCAACCTCCACTTCCTGGGTTCAAGTGATTCTCCTGTCTCAGCCTCCCGAGTTGCCGGGATTATAGGCACCCACCACCACGCCCGGCTAATTTTTGTATTTTTTCTATAGAGACGGGTTTATGCATGGTGGCCAGGCTGGTCTCAAACTCCTGACCTCATGTGATCTAACCGCCTTGGCCTCCCAAAGTGCTGGGATTACAGGTGTTAGCCACCACGCCTGGCCATTGCCCAATTATTAACAACTTTAGGTTAAATAGTAAAGGTATTAGAAACTGGAAAAGATTATGAGAAACTGGGATAGAAACAGATTCTCATTTCCATTTTTTATAATAATAATTGGTAGTGAGGAGGGAGTTAGCCAGTGTATCTCTGGGCTTGGCTTGGCTCTGAGTTCTGGGCCCAGCATAAGCTGAAGGTCTGGAGTTAAGATGCTCAGAATGACTCTATGATAATTTTTTAACTACTGGTAGGTACATGTCTATCTAAAGCACAGGAGAAGGATAAAAAACCAGTTCACAAACCCTTCAATGTCTGTTTTTAGCCAAGGCATCCTTAGGGCACACGCATTTTTGTGTTGCTTTTTCAGAGAACTCAGGAAGAAAAGGCATTCCCAGAGCCCAGCCCACTTCTTTTCTTTGCCCTGCCACTCACTGGTCGCTTGGACCTCAGATCGTTTCACTTGGAGAGGACTGAGAGAGGACTGGGTATACATTTAACAGCATGGAGAGCCAACCATCCTAACACCACAGTCCATTGAAACTGACTAGATAAAGCAAAGCAAAACAGCTTTTATTTTCCAGAGCCATCATTTATGAAGTTAAAAGCCTAAGTAGTCATTTAGAATTCTTTCATCACTATGGAAAATGGGATGGTTTCCTTTAGTCTTGGAAATTCAGCTCTCAAAAGATTATTTCCTCGCAGGCACCTGGCTTACAATCAGGATGAGCTGCCTGTGGGTGATGATTTGATTTTCTTTGAAATATGGGGAAAAGGAGGAAGGATTCAACTTTTGCAATTTGTACAGCCTATCATCAGGTGAAGAAAACATTTAGCATTTCAAGATTAAATTTTTATTTGACTTTTCCAGTAATTTATCACAGAGATTCCTTTTTGATGGAAATTTGGTGTTTTTTAAATAGAATAATGGCTTTCTTTATCATTCAAATAAATGTCTTGTCACAACTTGAAAAAAATGCAATTTTTGAAACACTGGAATTTTTATTTCTCCCACAGTTATGCATTTTATAAAGTCCTTTCATCTGTATAAAAATCTGCTGTCTCTTTTTACCAAATTTTACTTATTCAACAAGGATGAAGGTTTATAGGGAGAAAATATCATAAATTAACAAATTTAAGACTTTTTCCAGTCAAAACAAACAGTGATCTCAGGATTATTCAACTGTATAATATTACTTAAGCATTCAGGCACATAAGTGCATGTTTTAAAATAAATCAGGAAGGACTCAAATAATTTTTATGCCTCAAGAGAAACCTTTGAGGTTCTTTCTGCACAGGCTTGCATTGAAACTTAAAGAAACATATTACGGAGGAGAAAAGAGATGGTACTGTTTTCTAGTACTAGTGTTGAGTGGATAGTACTAGTGTTGAGTGGATAGTACTAGTATTGAGTGGATGGTACTAGTGTTGAGTGGATAGTACTAGTGTTGAGTGGATAGTACTAGTGTTGAGTGGATAGTACTAGTGTTAAGTGGATAGTACTAGTGTTGAGTGGATAGTACTAGTGTTGAGTGGATGGTACTAGTGTTGAGTGGATGGTACTAGTGTTGAGCGGAAGGTCATTAGGATACATTACTTACTTTGCAGATCTGCAGCACAGGAGAAGGGTGAAGAGCCTGATGGGGAATCAGAGGAGAGCCCCCAATAATGGTGATCATCAGAAGTGTCTTGAGCACCAGTTGGTACAAGTATTATTAGGTCTGAAGACACAGAAACAGAATGCATGCAACTCCTGTTCTCATACAGGAAGCATGTTAAGGACTGTAATGGGATGTGTACATGGGATAGGTAATGTACGTTTAAGCCACATTTTTTTCAGAATGAGGGCATCATTCTGCGTAGGTGAGAAGCAATTGAGAAAAACCTCAGGTGTTCGAGACCAGCCTGGTCAACATGGTGAAAACTAGTCTCTACTAAAAAAACAAAAAAACAAAAAAACTAGCTGGACATGGTGGTGTGCGTCTGTAGTTTTAGCTACTCAGGATACTGAGGCAGGAGAATTGCTTGAACCCCAGAGGCGGGGGTTGCAGTGAGCTAGATGACGCCACTGCACTCCAGCCTGGGTGACAGAGCGAGACTCCATCTCACAGTAAAAAAAAAAAAAAAAAAAAAAAGGAGGAAATATACCATCTGGGCCTTTGAAAAATACATGGAATTAGCCGGGCGCAGTGGCTCACACCTGTAATCCTAGCACTTTGGGAGGTTGAGGTGGGCGGATCACGAGGTCAGGAGATCGAGACCATCCTGGCCAACATGGTGAAACCCCGTCTCTACTAAAAATACAAAAATTAGCTGGGCGTGGTGGCGGGCACCTGTAATCCCAGCTACTTGGGAGGCTGAGGCAGGGGAATCGCTTGAACCAGGGAGTCGGAGGTTGCAGTGAGCCACGATGGCAGCACTGCACTCCAGCCCGGGTGACAGAGCGAGACTCCGTCTCAAAAAAGAAAAAGAAAAAGACATGGAATTTTGCCAAGCAGAAAGAAAAAGGAATGAATGACGTTCAGGGAAGGAGGGGGTGGGCAGAACTTGAACAAAGGCCAGTGGCGTGAAAGGCCGCTGTGTGTTTTGGAAACTAGCTGTTCAGCGGTGTGGTTGGGTTGAGCTGACATGTGTACGGCGTGGAGTGTTTGTACTGGGGACAGTGGCTGTAGTGACAGATGAGCCTGCGAAGTTGGGGTTAGGTTTAGAAAGGCTTTGAATGCCACGGGTAACGTGCAAAGGGATTTGAACTCGATCCCATAGACATGAAACCTCAAAGATTTAAGTAGGGTAATGACATAATCAAATCTTATTTCCAGAAGAGTAATTTCAGTAACAGATAGGAGATAGCAGGTAGCAGTGGGCTCGCTGGGGGCTACGGGACCAGGAAGGAGTGGTGGATATATTGCAGAAGTGAGAGAAGGAGGACATGAACCAGAGCCACGATGAAGGGATGGAGGAGCGGGCGGGCATTTGAGAGTCTTGTCAGCGGAAAACCTGAACGTAGTTGGTGATGGAAATGACAGAGACAGAGAGCAGTAAAGTAGACAGGTTTCTAGACCACATTACTGATTAAATGAAAAAGAGAAGTTTTGGGGTGAAGATAACTGTTTCACTTTGGTTATGGTGCTTTTGAGAGTCTGGGAAGGGCCTTTGTGGGTAGAGAAGGTGAGGTTTGCACATGAGAGAGATTAAAATATGGATGAAGGTTACCAGCCCAAATGTCCAACAATGATAGACTGGATTAAGAAAATGTGGCACATATACACCATGGAATACTATGCAGCCATAAAAAATGATGAGTTCATGTCCTTTGTAGGGACATGGATGAAGCTGGAAACCATCATTCTCAGCAAACTATCGCAAGGACAGAAAACCAAACACCGCATGTTCTCACTCATAGGTGGGAAGTGAACAATGAGAACACATGGACACAGGAAGGGGAACATCACACACCGGGGACTGTTGTGGGGTGGGGGTGGGGGAGGGATAGCATTAGGAGATATACCTAATGCTAAATGACGAGTTAATGGGTGCAGCACACCAACATGGCACATGTATAGATATGTAACAAACCTGCACGTGGTGCACATGTACCGTAAAACTTAAAGTATAATAATAATTAAAAAAAATATGGATGAAGGTTAGGAGGCCATCAAAGGACCAGAAGGGGCTCAGACTGTGGAAACAGCTGAGATTTCCATGTAGAGGATACAGACTAGAAAGAAGGAAAGGTTGCAGATGAAACCTTGGGGGCCCATTGATGTTTGAAGGGAGGAAGAGGAGATGGAGATGGAGCGGAAATGGACATAAAGGCAGAAGGAGAGAACGATGCTGTAGAACCAAGAAGCAAAGAACTTTAGGAAGGAGGTCAAGGCAAAAACCAGTAGGATGAGCAGTGAGAGGAAGCCATTGGGTTTAGCAACTAGGGGACCCCTGGGGGGCCCAGCCCACAAGGGTCCAGTCTAGTGGTGGTGGAGGAAGAAGGTCGACTGCAGAGAGAAGAGTGGGGCACGGGCTCCAGGCCAGTGCAAGCTGTGCCCAGACGACAGTTTCAGGTTGCCAATATGATTCAGTCTGGCTGGAGTGCTCCATCGTTCAGCTTTAAATGCACAGTGCTTGTGTTTTACAGCCTATAGAGTGCAACCTGATTTGACCTCTTTGTATTTTTAAAACTTTGTCACTCTGTCCCTGCTTTTGTTCTTTTGTCCCTTGGAATGTATGTTCTTGGGTTGGGGGAAGTCTTTATAGGTTTTCAGATCATTTTCCTTGCTTTAGTGTTTCCTGTCACGAGGACACCCCCCCCCCAACCCTGCACTCTCTCTCTCTCTTTCTCTCTCTCACACACACACACACACACCACTGTGTTATGTAATTACATAGAAAGTGCTCAAACTGTTCATTCGTGAGCTTTGTGTTTGATGTTTCTAATTAAATTTCCTGGAACAGGGGAAGTGTCTTCAAGTGATTTCTATTTATTGTGGGAACAATAACAATTTATGGTCATCTTATATCCTTTAAGAAGACCAGAGAACTTTGTCTTTGGAAAGCTTAAAGCGGGTCAATGCACATTGTTTGGCTAAATGATAAAGCAGCTGGATGTGCGGGCTCGGAGCGATGGCAGCTCATCTGACGACAGGGTCTTCTAACCCCTCCATCCCTGTCACCTGCGGTGCTTGCCACGCACACGCCCTGGTAGCCACCTGTATCAGCCCAGCGTGACACATTGAGAAAGGGCCTCGGAGGCAGTAGGAAACCGAGTTCTATTTTCTGTCCTTTACCACTTGTGTGATGGGACTCAGTATCCTCATCTCTAAAATGGAGATGACAGTAACTTCTTGTCTGCTTCATGGGGTCGCTGTAAGGAGTGGATTCACTGATACATGCCAAAGTCCTTTGTAAATATCAAGTCACTGACACCAGCTGGCACCCTACAGTTGATATAATTTTTTTCTCCTTTAGGGAGGTATTGAGTGAAAAGGTTTATCTAGTTTTTCCAATATGTCCATCCTCAGGCAACATCATTGATTAGAAGTAAGCAGACTTTTTATGTTTATCTTTTTATTGCAGTGAAATATACATAACATAAACTTTACCATTTTAAGCTTTTTTTTTTTTTTTTTTTTTTGCTGGGGGAGGAGGGGACAAGGTCTTGCTCTATGGCCCAGGCTGAAGTACAGTGCCGTGATCATGGCTCACTGCAGCCTTGACCTCCCGGGCCCAAGTGATCCTCCTACCTTAGCCTCCCAAGTAGCTGGTATGACAGGTGTACACCACCGTACCTGGCTAATTTTTAAATTTTTTCTAGAGACAGCATTTTGCTGTGTTGCCCAGGCTGGTATCAAACTCCTGGGCTCAAGCGATCCTCCCACCTCAGCCTCCCAAAGTGCTGGGATTATAGGCATGAGCCACCGCGCCCGGCCTATTTTAACCATTTTACAGAGTACAGTTTGGTGGCATCAACTACATTCACATTGTTGTGCAACCATCAACCCCATGCATCTCCAGAAACTTTTTATTTTTTATTTTTTTGAGACAGAGTCTCGCTCTGTCATCAAGGTTGGAGTGCATAGGCGCGATCTCAGCTCACTGCAACCTCCGCCTCCTGGGCTCAAACGATTCTCCCACCTCAGCCTGCTGAGTAGCTGGGACTACAGACATGTGCCACCACACGCTGCTAATTTTTATATTTTTAGTAGAGATGGGGTTTCACCATATTGGCCAGGCTGGTCTCAAAATCCTGACCTCAAGTGGTCTGCCCGCCTTGGCCTCCCAAAGTGCTGGGATTACAGGCATGAGCCACCGTGCCTGGCTTCCAGATCCTTTTCATCTTCCCAAATGGAAACTCCGTCCCCATTAAACAGAACTCCCCATTGCCTTCTCCCCCTAGTCCCTAGCAACCACAGTTCTACTTTCTTTCTCTATGAATTTGATGACTTTGGACACCTCCTGTAAGTAGAATCATACGGTATTTGGCTTTTTGTATCTGATTTATTTCCTTTAGCATAATGTCCTCAGAGTTCATCCATGTTCCAGCATGGGTCAGAATTCCATTGCTATTTATGGCTATTCTGTTATATGTGTGGACCATATTTTATCCATTTGTCCCCCAATGGATGCAAGGATTGTTGCCACCACGTGGCTGTTGTGAATAATGCCTCTGTGAATGTGGTTGTCCACGCACCTGTTCAGTCCCTGCTTTCACTTCTGGGTATAGACCTAGGTGTGGAGTTGCATGCTGACTTGCATTCGCAGAGAATGGGTCTGGAACCTTGGCTCCCTGACTCTGCTCAGGATCTTCTGATGGAGACTCCTTGGTCATGTTGTGTCAAGCCTGGGCTGTTTAGCACGTGACTCTCTTGACATAACTCCGTGCCGTTGTCCTGCCTTCCCCATGGGGCGCCACATAGCCCATCCCCACCTAACCAGGGACAAAGGCAGAAAAATCCTAGCTCCACGGGCACTACTGCCTCTCCATGTTGTCAGCTTCCTGCCGTGGCAGTGCTGGCTCTGAGGAGACCCCTCGCTCCCCTCCCCAGTCTATTGTCTCTCGGGCTGAGTCCTGCGGCAACCTCGCTTCTCACTGTTTCCTCCAAGCGAGGAAATGCTTTTCTCTTACAGGCTTCCAAGGGTCCGATTGAGCAGGTTGTCCCCTCTGCGTTGGCCGTGGTCATTTCTGATCACAGGGATTCTGTAGAGGAAGGAGCACCTGTGGATGGAGAGTGGAGCGAGGGGCAGCCCAGGAGGAGAGGGGCCTGATCGCAGTTCCCAGCCCGAGCCCTTGGCTGTGGTCACTGCTGCCAAAGGGCTTTTCCGCCTTCTGGAAGATGGACTTAGTAAATCCAACAAACTCAGGACCATTGGGGTGTCATCAGCATTAGGGACTCAAGTGGCCAACAGGGAAACTGAATGAACGAATGAATGAATGAAAGAATGAATGATTTATCTGGTATAAAACCACCCATGGTGCTTGAACCTTGGTCTTTCCCCAGTGATTTTTCTCCTACTCTAACATAGTTCTTGTTCTACCTCCCGGAGGGTAGTGAGGGGGAACACGTACCTCCTCATTCAGGGTCTTGACCCACCTAAGAACTCTGAGGTGCAGCCACCTGTCTCCCCCTGGCTTAGAGATGAGTGAGGAGGGATGGTGCGTGGGCTCAGGGGCCGTCTCTGGAATTGTTATGATTTGGGTTTCCTGGACAAAAGCCGTTGGCCATGGCCGGTGTCACTGGGAATGTCTGACTCCATGTATCCCTCTGTGATAAACCTGTGGTGGGTCTTTATGTGTTTATATTTAGTGATGATTGTTCTGGCAGGTTCTAGAAGGTTTGGCTTCTGGCTTGTAGTGTTTTGAGGGGAGAATCCTATGGGTGAATAATTTGTGGATTTGGGCAGAAGATCCTGCTTCTGATGTTTTTCATCTGGGATATTTTGTGGAATGACTATGTTCTGCCCCCTGGGCTTGTATAATTAAAAATAGACCATGAAGCTATAGACAAGCTTCTCTCGTGAGCATCCATGTGCCAGTGGGAACGCTGTCCTGAAGTTAATTGCACTGAGTGGAAGTGAATTCCTCTCACTGGAAAGGATTTTTAAAACATGCATTTAGCGTCCCTTGGATTGTGACAGAGTGTGCATTGCTGTCAGGTGGGCAAGGAGAGGAGGAGGAAGGGTGTTCCCCCTGTTCAGGAATCTCTTTGACAGTGACTAAAGTAGGGGTCCCCAACCCCTGGGCCATGGGCCAATACCGGTAGGGTATGTGGCCTGTTAGGAACTTTGCCACACAGCAAGAGGTGAACAGCGGGCAAGCAAGCAAAGCTTCATCTGTACTTACAGCCACTCCCCATTGTTCACGTTACCGCCTGAGCTCTGCCTCCTGTCAGATCAAGGACTGCATTAGATTCTCATAGGAGCGTGAGCCCTATTGTGAACTGTGCACGCGAGGGATCTAGGTTGCACACTCTTTATGAGAATCTAATGCCTGATGATCTGTCACTGTGTCCCATCACCCCCAGATGGGACCGACTAGTTGCAGGAAAACAAGCTCAGGGCTTCCACTGATTTCTACGTTATGGCAAGTTGTAGAATTATTTCATTATACATTACTGTGTAATAATAATAGAAATAAAGTGGCTGGGCGTGGTGGTTCACACCTATAATCCCAGCACTTTGGGAGGTCGAGGCGAGTGAATCACTTGAGGTCAGGACTTCGAGACCAGCCTGGGAAACATGGTGAAAATACAAAAATTAGCCAGATGTGTTGGTGGACACCTGTAATCCCAGCTCCTCAGGAAGCTGAGTCAGGAGAATCGCTTGAACCTGAGAGGCAGAGGTTGCAGTGAGCCGAGATCACACCAGTGCACTCCAGCCTGGGCAACAGAGCCAGACTCCGTCTCAAAAAAATGAAATAAAGTGCACAAGAAATGTAATGCACTTGAGTCATCCCAAAACCACCCTCCTCTCCCGGGTCCATGGAAAAACTGTTGTCCATGAAGCTGGTCCCTGATGCCAAAAAGGTTGGGGACCATTGGACTGAAGAAGGTAGGGCCTGAAGACCTGGTATTGCCATAACACTGGGGCTTCCAGTGGTTTCTCTGGACACGGGAACGTTGGTTTCTTGAAGCAGGAGTTGAAAGTCTTGGCACAGAGAACGACTCAGTGGGCTGTGGTACTTCCCTGTGCACAGAGCCCAAGTTGCTGGGATCTGGAGGATCCGGAGATGATGGAGGAGGCTGTTCCATGCCAGGGTTATTAGTGGAGTTCTGCACGCAGGCCTTGCCTACCGTCAGCAAAGGAGGTGGCCCTGGGGTGCTGGCTCTGGGGCTCCCAGATCATAAGGGGCCCCTCCAGAGAAGTGGGCTCTCCAGCCCCAGATGTTCTGGTTTTAGTTTGTTGCTCTGCCGTTGCAGAGTGAAATGTGTATTTTCAGGCAGGACAGTCTTCCCCACTCCATAGCCCTTGCTTGTTAGTTTCTTTGGTTTAAAAAGGATACAAGCTGCTCGGTGAGCACTTGCACCCCATGACCAATTAATTACCCTGTGTCTGTACCACCTGCAATACCGCTCACACCCAGTCCTATCCTTACCCAGCTGGGAAGAGTCCAGTGTTTGCAGAGCGCTCTGAAATTTCCTCTAGATGAAAAAGCCTGTGAGGACCTGGGGATTTTAGTGTGACTTTCTAGTCTGTTTGGAGGTGGGAGAGCTGACACCGGCAGAAGGATCCAGTCCTTTTCTGTAGGAGGAACCTCTTGTGGGAGCGTTCTTGTTGGCTCCAAAGTGACGCCACTGTGTTGTGTGGCAAGTGGTACCGGGAGGTGGCCTAACTGTGTTGACCTCCACATCCGCATGTCCCTTTGCAGGAAGGCCTGCTTGCCCCTGTGTATTTCCTTTTTGAAAAACTTTTATTATCATTATTTTTTGAGACAGAGTCTTGCTCTGTCGCCCAGGCTGGAGTGCAGCGACACGATCTCGGCTCACTGCAACCTCTGCCTTCCAAGCTCAAGCGATTCTCCTGCCTCAGCCTCCCAAGTAGCTGGAATTACAGGTGCGTGCCACCACCTCTGGCTAATTTTTTGTATTTTTAGTAGAGACGGGGTTTCATCATGTTGGCCAGGCTGGTCTTAAACTCCTGACCTCAGGTGGTCTGCCCGCCTTGGCCTCCCAAAGTGTCGGGATTACAGGCATGAGCCACTGCGCCGGGCTGCCCCTGTGTATTTCTTTGCACAAAGATGTTTAGCAAGGAGCCACGGTGGATAAAAGTAACAGTAATGCTTACAACTGTGCCGTCGTTATTGTTTACTCAAACTTCGGTGGTAGGGTGAATGGAGCCATTGTGAAACTGGACTTCTGCATCTAAGTGTTCTTTTTTCCTTCTTTGTTCACAGCGGGGCCTTTTCCGAAGTGGTTTTAGCTGAAGAGAAGGCAACTGGCAAGCTCTTTGCTGTGAAGTGTATCCCTAAGAAGGCGCTGAAGGGCAAGGAAAGCAGCATAGAGAATGAGATAGCCGTCCTGAGAAAGTAAGTGCTGGAGGGCAACCCTCCTCCCTTCCCTACCTCCTGGCCCGTGTGTCCTGCAGGAGTCCTGCCCCGGAGGCAGACTTTCCCCGGGGGCAGAGGGGCCCCCAGAGGACCCAGGCTGTGCAAACGATAACCAACTTTCAAAGCACTTTTCCCATAGACCTCTCGTGTCTTAGAACATTCACGGCCATGGTTGGGAGTAGTTCTCAATTACAAAGAGCACAGCTGTCAGGCAGACTTGCTTGTGAACCGAGACCCTGCCACTCACCATATCCGAGTGACCGTGGGCCGGCTACAGAGCCCTGAGTCTTCTCTGTAAAATGGAGTTACCGGCGTCTCCCTGGCAGGGTGTTGTAAAGATTTGGTGAGATGCTGCTTACTAAGTTTTTGTGAAGTGCTCACTGCAGCACTCGCCACATAGGAAGTGCTCAGTAAAGGTCTGTGCTGTCGCCACCGCTGTGAGTACTGTTGCTGTTATTACTGCTTTATTTATAATAAGGTGATGAAGCTCACAAAATAGAGTCACGTGTCCAAAGCCTTGCAGCTCCTATGTGGCAGAGCCTGGAATACCAACCCGGCCAGTGTTACTTCCACACGTTCCGATGGTTTCTCCCATTCTCTGCCACAGACATGGCGCCTGGCACCCAGCAGGCTGCGTGGAGTTCACTGTTTCAGTGCTTACCTCCTCATTGAGTTTTATTTTTGCTCACTGTGTGTAATAGAAATAAAATAGATTTTTCTTTCTTTTTTTTATTTCCTTTCTTTCCCTCCCCACTCCCCTCCCCTTTGCTCCCCTCCCCTCTCCTCTCCTTTCCTTTCCTGACAGAATCTCGCTCTGTTGCCCAGGCTGGAGTACAATGGCGCAATCTCAGCTCACTGCAACTTCCACCTCCTGGCTTCAAGCGATTCTCCCGCCTCAGCCTCCCGAAGCTGGGATTACAGGCATCTGCCATCATGCCCAGCTAATTTTTGTATTTTTGTAGAGATGAGGTTTCTCCATGTTGGCCAGGCTGGTCTTGAACTCCTGACCTCAGGTGATCCGCCCGCCTTGGCCTCCCAAAGTGCTGAGTTTACAGGCATGAGCCACTGCGCCTGGCCAAGATTTTCATTTATTTCTATTACACATGGGGAGCAAAAATATAAGAAAGTCCTCTCTTGTATAATGGCACACATAGAACCATTCATTTTTTCTTTTTTTCTCCAGGCAGGATCTTGCTCTGTTGCCCAGTCTGGAGTGCAGTGGCAGTCTTGTCTCACCGCAGCCTCAACTCTTGAGCTCAAGTGATCTTCCCACCTCTGGCTCCTGAGTAGCTAGGACTGTAGGCACACGCTATTATGCCTGGCTAATTAAAAAAAAATTTTTTTTTTAAGAGATGGAGGGCTCACTGTGTTGCCCAGGCTGGTCTTGAACTCCTGGCCTCAAGCAGTCCTCCTACCGCAGCCTCCCAGATTGCTGGGATTATAGGCATGAGCCATGGCGCCTGGCTCCCAGAACCATTCTGATGTGTCTGGATCCATCCCAGCGATGTTCTTTCATAAGTGTGGTGTCCACACCGTTCCCCACACTGTCATGATTAAGCCATTGCCCCGTCATCTCCAAAGGTTTGGGGGAACAAGCCCTTGTATGGTACCTGATTTTGCATGTTTGGAGTGTGTCTGAGCAGTGTGCTATGGAAATTTTTAAGAGTTGCTATTAATAAAAGATGTTGGAAATATCCTTGAAATTTTTGGGGTTTGGAATCAGCACATAGCAAGAATCTCTGTACAGATAAGCAAAGCAGAATGAGAACAAGCCTTCTAGGGCCTCAACACAAAATGTCACGCTCCTCACATTCTTTCTGAATAAACCGTCTCGCCCACTCCTCTCTTACTGGGACCAGCAGTGTCCACCCAACGATGTTCAGCCATCATTTGCACAAACCCAGCACTGCTGAGAGGGCCAGGACAGTCTGTCCTCTTCTGACCTTTGTGTAACTCACAGAAGAAGCTACAGCATGCGGGATAAGTGTTTGAGAACAAACAGGTCTCTTTAACTTTGTAGCTTAAGGGTTTTGCTTATTTGTTTGGTAGTTTGGTCGTTTCTAGGTTCTCTGGATTGTCTATTAGGAACCCAGTGAGTTTCAGGTTGTCCTGAGGAGGATTGCAGGAAATGATTGTATGGAAGAGAATCTGGGAAAACAAATTAAGTATATTAGCATCTAGCAGGAAAACACGATGTTAATGAGACATTTATTTAAATTGCTCATTTTCCAATGTGAAATCAGTACTTGGAGAAGAAGTTATTTGCTGGTGACATTAAGTTGCAGACACATTACAGATATTTGACATTGTAGATTGAATTCTGGGTGGGCCCAGAGCCTTCCAAAGGTTTTACGTTGGGCACAGGGGCTGTCTGTTGATGGATCGAGGGTGATGACTGTATTTTGGTGTGATTCCCTTAGGGCTGAGAAGTACAAAAGGGGAGGAAGTCAGTTTCATTTTTTAGCATTATTTTTCATTTGCATGAGCAGAGGCCATGGATGCAGGCTTTATAAACCAGTCCTGTTGATGCCGTGGATGGTCTGCTTTAATTGTCTTCACCCTGCGCCTCACTCAAATAATCACTTCCAGGGAGAGGGCATTTAAAAACCAAGGAGGGCCAGAGGGCTGGAATAACTTGTTTTGATAGTTGTTCAGTATCCGCTGCTGGAGTACCTGGAAGCGTGACCCCTCTTTCAGGAGTCAAGAACAAAGAAGTGATTTCTCCAGGGATGCGAAGGTGATCTATAGTAACTCCCGCACTGACTTTTTTTTTTGGTCCTCTGCAAATGATTTACATATGGAGTAAGAGGCAGTTCCACATCATGAGCAGCTGAAAGCAAAGTCAATGAGCTAGAAAGAAAATAGTTTGAAACCACTCAGAATGTTGTCATGGAGACATTCATTCATTTAACAAATATTTATTAAATTCTCACTGTGCAGCAGGCCGCACTGCTGGGCACTGAGTTTAGATAAGGTGCTCTCCTTGCCCTCTGGGAGCTCACAGTTTTGTCACTAAGTACGTGCAGTGGCATTGCAGATGCTGTGTAGTAGCATGGCCAGGGCCTCAAGGGTAGGGGGTGCTGTCTTCTTCCTTTGGGGTGGGATGGGAGGAGAGGATTCATGGAGGAGGAGGGCCTGGACAATGAGCATAGTTTGCAGGGTCAGAAACGCAGAGGGACATTCCATCCAGAAGTGGCAGCCCAAACAGAGGTCAGGAGATAGGAGACAGAAAGGCTGGTGTGCTGGGGAACTCTCCAGGGCAAAGGGTTCAGGGGGAGGCCTGGAGACACCTAAGGTTGGAGAGGTGGGATTGTGGAGGGCCTTGTGTACCCACTTTGAACTTCATCCTCTAGACACGGGGGAGCCATCGGAGGGTTTTGATGAAAGGAGCAACATGATCAAGATTAATTTTTGAAGATTGTTGCGGCAGAACTGAGAAGAATGGACTGGGGGGCCAGGACTCTATGTATGTAGGGAGAATAGTGAGGAGGCTGTTGGAAGAATCTGGTGGAGAAATGAAGAAGCAGCACATTAACACAGAAGCTCTGGAGTTGGGATGGAAGAAACAGTTATGAGTGTGTGAACACAGTGGAATCTGTAGGACTTAGAGATTCGGAAGGAATGGGGAGAGCAGGGAGGGAGACGGAGGATTCCAGGAGGGCTGCCGAGTTTCTGACATGGATGCCTGGGTGGATGATGACCCCATTCACTGAGAACAGAAATACCAGAGCGGGAGGGCAGGTCAAGAGTCTGGACATGCTGAACTTGGGGGTTGGGAGGATGCCCTGGTAGAGAGGTCCAGTTGACTGTCCAGTTCTGGAACTCAGATTGTGATCTGGACTTGCTGATTGGTAAAGTTTTTCAGACACAGCATGTAAGAAAAAAGTCCTGGCCGGGTGCCACGGCTCACGCCTGTAATCCCAGCACTTTGGGAGGCTGAGGCAGGTGGATCACGAGGTCAGGAGATCGAGACAATCCTGGCTAATACGGTGAAACCCCGTCTCTACTAAAAATACACAAAAAAATTGGCCGGGTATGGTGGTGGGCGCCTGTAGTCCCAGCTACTCGGGAGACTGAGGCAGGAGAATGGTGTGAACCCGGGAGGCAGAGCTTGAAGTGAGCCCAGATCGCGCCACTGCACTCCAGCCTGGGCGACAGAGCGAGACTCCATCTCAAAAAAAAAAAAAAAAAAAGAAAAAAGAAAAAAGTCTTTTGATGATTTTCATGACTAAGTCATTGTAGACAGGATCCCAAATAGACTGCCTTAAATTCCAACGTCTTTGTTGATTTCCACACTATTTTTGCTTATTTCCTGACTGTTTGTTGATTTCCACGCTATTTGTGTTTGTTTCCTGGCCATTGGTTTATTTCCACGCTATTTTCCATGGAAGTAGGCCCATTTGAATCCCAGCTGCTGGACCACCAGGGGACTGCTAAGCCGGCCCATTGGAAAGACTGCCTGCCCCCCTTTATGCTGAGTTTATTGTAGGCTGAGAAATTTATTTATTTCACTGGACTGAAGTGATGTAGCTAACATGTCCTTAAGGATGTCTTTGTACTTGCTCTGGAAATTGTTTCAAAATGAATTTTCTACTTGATCAGTAGATATTAAATGAAGCTCAGAGGGAAACATTCTGATAAACATGGAGGTAGGCTGTTGCTCTGCAGCTGTGAGGACCGGCAGCCTTGCTCTGGCATCAGCGGCTGGATCTAGAAAATTCAGCATAAGCTACTCTAGATAGAACAGTTAGTTGTGATCCCACAACAGAGTATTTTATGCGGTATGGAATAAACATCATCGGTGTTATTCTCTTTGGGTTGGATTACAGAGTTTATGATTTCTGTGGCATTATTTATTTCGAGGGCAGGCACTGCTGACATCTAATTTCAAAACTTGACCGGCACGGTGGCTCACACCTGTAAGCCAGCACTTTGGGAGGCTGCTGTGGGTGGGTTGCTTGAGGTCAAGAGCTTGAGACCATCCTGGCCAAGGTGGTGAAACCCCATCTCTATTCAAACTACAAAAATTAGCTGAGCGTTGTGGCGCATACCTATAATCACAGCTACTTGGGAGGCTGAGGCAGGAGAATTGTTTGAACCCAGGAGGTGGAGGTTACAGTGAACCGAGATCGTGCCGTTGCACTCCAACCTGGGTAACAAGAGCAAAACTCCATCTCAAAAAAAAAAAATACAATAATTTCAAGGTAGCACTTAAAGTACTTTTGCAGGAGTAGAAAGGCAAATATATCAACAGTCTACATTTAAATGAGAGGTGAAGAGAGAGGGGGATGCATAGATTGGAAAGTGGGGGCTGAGAGAAGCAAACCAGCTGTGTCTGGAGCAGCCCATTTACTAATAGTTGGAAAAACTGAGGCTCAGTTTGGTGGAAGGGGTACTGTCTGAATGAAACATGGCACCAGAATTCAACATGCTGTTCTGATGCCTGCTTTGTAAGCTGCAGAGATTGTCTTGCCTTGGGGAAGTGACCCTGGCAGGAACTGATTTGAATTGGCATGTTTTCGTCTATCTGGGTACACTGAGGAGTCTCAGATGATGGTCTCTGCCTCTTTCTCTCCAAATCAGTGTTTCTCAGCCCTGGCTGCACCTTAAAATCACCTAGGAAGCTCTTAAAATCATACTGATTAGCCGGGCACGGTGAGTGGCTTATGCTTGTAATTGCAGCACTTTGGGAGGCTGAGGCAGGAGGATTGTCTGAGGCTGGGAGTTCAAGACCAGCCTGGGCATCATAGTGAGACTCTGTCTCTATAAAACAATTAAAAAACTAGTCAGGTGTGGTGGTTGCCAGTAGTCCCATCTACTCTGGAGGCTGAGGTGGGAGGATTGCTTGAGCCGAGGAGTTTGAGGCTGTACTCCAGTTTGGGTGACAGACTGAGACACCATCTCTAAAAAAATAAATAAAAGGAAAAAACAAAAATATTATGCTGATGCGCAGGCCCCATTCACGACCAATCGAGTCAGAATTGGAGGTAATGGCAGGTGCTGGAAAATTGAAAAAGCATCTCCCCCACCCGCCACCCACTGATCCTAACTCATAATCAGTGTGATGTCAGAACAACCACTCTCCAGCCCTTGTCCGCTGATTTCACCTCCCAGGGTGGAGCTGCTCCGTATGATGACTAGGAGTGTGGGCAGATGTGTACAGATGTGTCCGCAGGCAGAAACACAAGCCAGGCAATGTTTCCTTCAGGAGAGGCTTCATTGAGAGGAGCGAACTCAGATGTGCTCCCTTGGAAGAGCTGAGTTTTGTTTTGAGAGTGGTGAATTGACTTGAGTCCATCATCCCATCATTGAGGAGCAGGCACCAGCCACTGACTGGGCTCAGGAGTGAGAACCTCGCTTCTCAAGGGTGGCTGAAGAAGTACGGGCAGTAGTGGCAGTGCCAGGCCTGGGGAGGCTGGGGTAGGGTGTGGTCGAGTCAGCACGCTGCAGTGCCAAGTACTTCACAAGAGGGTGAGGACTGCTAAAGGCAGCAGGTGCCAAAGCCCAGGATGCTGGGCTGGAGTCCCTGAAATCCCTGGGGCCGAAGTCAGGATGGATGGCAGGATGTGTGGTGGGAGAGTGAGTTAGCACCTCTGTCATGGGAAGGGCGGAGCCTTATCCTCCAGTTACCTTAAGGCAGACACCTTCCTCTCAATGCGGACCAGAGGGAGGGCAGCTTCTGCAGCCAAAGAAAGCAACTGCTTTGGGATTAGGGAACAGCCCCCAGAGAAAGGCTTTGACGTCGATGAACTCTGGAAATCTAGCCTGCCCCTGCTCCTGCGGCTTTGTTCTGAAGGGAGGCTGGCCCTGTTCACTTGTTTAAACCACTGCCAAGTGCCAGTCTTTGTGCCTGTTAGAGAAACTGACACTTCAATAGAAATTCATCGATTGGGGTCCGGGCGCGGTGGCTCACGCCTGTAATCACAGCACTTTGGGAAGGCGAGGCGGGCGGATCACCTGAGGTCAGGAGTTAGAGACCAGCCTGGCCAACGTGGTGAAACCCCGTCTCTACCAAAAATACAAAAATTAGTCGGGCATGGTGGTGGGCGCCTGTAATCTCAGCTACTCGGGAGCCTGAGACAGGAGAATTGCTTGAACCCAGGAGGTGGAAGTTGCAGGGAGCCAGGATCGCACCACTGCACTTCAGCCTGGGCAACGAGAGGAAAACTCTATCTCGGAAAAAAAAAAAAAAAAAGAAGAAGAAGAAAGAAAAAAAGAAATTCATTGATTGGGGCTGAAGATAACCACTTTGCCAATGACTGAAAATGGCTAAGCTGGTAAAGCTAGTCCTTGAATTTCTCAGGCACCAATACAGCTTTTTAAGGATCAATCTGAGCTGCTTAGAAGGGTCTAAAAGAGAGAGAGCTCCTCTCTGGAAAGCTCGCACTGGAATGGAGAACACAAGCAGGAAATGTGAAAAGTAACGGTTGAAAGCCTTACTTATGATGACACATAGGGAGGCAGGTGCATATCTTACAATTCTAGACACTTGGATACCTTGGGAAACCATATTGAAAGTTACCTTGATTTCTTTCTTTCTTTCTTTTTTTTTTTGAGATGGAGTCTCGCTCTGTCACCCAGGCTGGAGTGCAGCAGTGCGATCTCGGCTCACTGCAAGCTCCGCCTCCCAGCTTCACGCCATTCTCCTGCCTCAGCCTCCCGAGTAGCTGGGACTACAGGCGCCTGCCACCATGCCTGGCTAATTGTTTTGTATTTTTTTTAATAGAGACAGGGTTTCACCGTGTTAGCCAGATTGGTCTCGATCTCCTGACCTTGTGATCTGCCTGCCTTGGCCTCCCAAAGTGCTGGGATTACAGGCGTGATTTCAAATAAAACCATGCAATCCCCATAAAACAGGCTTTGAGGGATGCAGTAAGTTATTTAGTGATGGTGGTGGCGGTGGTGTGCGTGGTTAAAGCCGAAAACTTGCCAAGCTTTGGGCACGTACATGTGAGCCTGTCTGCTGAATGAGCTTAGGCTTTCTGGAATCTTAACACAATACACCCTGGACCTGTGAAAACCGGGCTCTGCGAAGCCTTTAATCACCGAGAAGAGTTGACATTGACAGGTCTTCCATAATGATGGCCCTTCCTTAGCAGTTCAGAGTCCCGCCTTATTTAGTGTCCTTCCTCCTTTTTGCTGCATACCTACACTTTCGTATTCTGGGAGCTGTGCTGAACTTTCCCCTAAGTCCGGAGACTTCCCCTGCCTGGTTGGCAGTAAACTCAGCTTTGTTTCTGACCATTATTTGGTGATCGTTGTTTATTTCATCCTAACTGTGCATGTCTGTAAGAGGAAATAGAAGTGGTCTAATGCCAGTGCAACTTTCTAGACAAGAGAGAATATATTTGGTGCTTCTAGTGGCTTTCTCATGGTGTTTTGTCCCTTGCAAAAATCAAAAACATTTTAAATTTGGTTTGAGATCCAGAATCAATGCATTTCTGTTAATTTCTTGGACATTGCTTATAGCACTCCCTGAATTGAAGGAAAATACAGTTGGTTATATCCCATACTACAAAACAAGGAATTGAAACTATCTTGAGTAGGCATGTTGGTTTATCTCTCCAGGGTCCATGTATCTCTGGGGCCTCTTCCTGCCTAGGGTTTCTGCTTCCCAAATAGTGCACCTGGTGTGGTTCTTGTGGATGTTAGTGTCTTATTCCATTTTCTGTTGCTATAGCATAATACTTTGATCCTAGGTAATTTACAAAGGAAACAGGGTTCTTTAGCTCACATTCTGCAGGCTGGGAAGTCCAAGATCGGGTGGCTGCCTCTGGTGAGGATTTTGTGCTGCTTTATGGCATATGGCAGAAAAGCAGAAGGGCAAGTGAGTGTGTGCAAAGAAAGGGGAGGTGAAGAGACCACCCCCCCTTAAAACAACCTGCTCTTGTTAGAGCTAACCTAGTCCCATGAGAACTGCATCCATCCCTACATGATGGCAGATCCCTCATGACTGAAACAATTCCTAGCACTGCTGCATTGAGGATTTACGTTTCCAACACATGAACTGTTGGAGGACACGCTCAAAGCATGGCAGTTTCCCTTTCTTTAGTTCCTTCTCCCACAGCACTGTGCAAATGAGTATTTAAATGCCTGTCTGATAGTCACCCTCACTACCTTAATTCCAAAAAGTCCCCTGCTTAATAGAATCCAAACTCATTTGCAAACGAGCCCCCGACTTTGTGATCTACCTCTTTGGTTTTCATCTTCCCACCCCTCACCCCATGTTTCAGTTTAGTTCTCCTGAAAGGAACAGATAATTGCATCTTTCCTGCTGCAGTTTGACACACACCTCCTTCAGGACACCTCTTGATTTCCTGTCTGGATGGGCCCTTCCCTCTGAGATTCCACGGCACCAAGGTTTGCTTCTATCATTCCTGACTGTGCCATGGGATCTCTGCTGCTCCAAACTGTGGACTTCCTGAATCTAGCCCTGAACTAAAGGCAACATGGTGGGAATGGAGGCAAGGATTAGGGGAACTCAGGTAAAATTAAGGATGTTAGAAACCCTGGGACTGGGTGCTGATTAGGCAAAGAAGGTTTAGTGGAAGGGAGGAATCTATGCTGACTTCCAGTTCTCTCTGGCTTTGGTGACTGTATTAGTTCTCCAAAGAAACAGAAGCAATAGGATATATGTAGATACACAAAAAGATTTATTATGAGGTATTGGCTCATGTAATTCTGGAGGCTGAGAAGCTCCACAATCCACCATCTGCAAACTGGAGACCCGGGAAAGCCAACTGGACTTGGCCCAAGGCCAAAGACCTGGGAACCAGGGGAGCCGACGTCCAAGGGCCGGAGATGGATGTCTTAGCTCCAGGAGAGAGAAAAACCAGGTGTAGCGGCACGCACCTATACCTGCAGCTACTTGGGAGGCTGAGGTGGGAAGATCACTTGAGTCCAGGAGTCGAGGCTGCAGTGAGCTGTGATGACACCACTGCACCCCAGTCTGGGCAACAGAGTGAGACTCTGTCTCTAAAAAAAAAGGGAAGAAGAACAAATTGATTCTTCCTCTGCCTTTTTCTTCTATTCTGGCTCTCAATGGATTTGAACATACCCGCTTACACGGGTGAGGATAATCTTTTTACTCAGTCTGCTGATTCAGATGCTAATCTCTTCCAGAAATTCCCTCACAGACACACCAGAAATACAGAAATACTGTTTTACCGGCTGTCTGGGCATCCTTTAGGCCAGTCAAGTTGACACATAAAATTATCCATTACATTGACCAAGTGGATGGCAGGTTCCTCAACCAATATGGGGCATTCCAGAAGAGGCGGAAGGTTTGAGAGAGAGAGAGAGAGAGAGAGAGAGAGAGAGAGGGAGAGAGAGGGAGAGAGAGAATGAGGATTCCTTTATGGCAACAGAGTATACTTAAATCTGGTCTGGCCTCTCCTGCCACCTTGTATACTATACATATTACTCTGTAGATATTTAGAGTAGTTGAAGAAACAATGTGTTTTATCACACTTTTAAAACCAGTGTTGCGTCTTTGCATGTTTATTTCCTTGTGCCATCTCTGTCATCTAATGTGGATATTTACATGGGAGTTCAGCTAATATGTGGACTAGTTGGTGGTTTAAATTCCTCTAATAATATATCTTGGCAGATCTTTCCCCTTTCTTCTGTAAACTTACTTAGCTAATGATTTATACAGATTCCAGTTAAATGATTTGAAGAGCAGTCTGTCTGTCTATCTATCTAGATATCTATCTAGATAGATAGATCTGTCTGTCTAGATGTCTCTCTCTCTCTCTCTCTCTCTCTCTGTCTCTCTCTCTCTCTCTCTCTCTCTCTCTCTCTCATAGGCTAATATTTTTAAAAAGTCAGAATAGCTTACATTGGAGAACCACACTAATGAAAGATTAAATGCAAGTAGGCCTGAGATGGACTAAGATGGCAGATATAGAAAAAGAAATAGACACCAAAGATTCAATTTTTTTTTTTCTGTTAAGCTTTATGTTGTGTCCGTTCTGTCTTCTATGTGGTTTTGGCATGATTCATATGGCAAATGAATTATTTTAGTGAAGCTTTATTTATGACTCACTGTGTATTTTAAGTTGTATGTAATTGGATTAACAAATTTCATTTCACATGTGTGAAGTCCAGGGCTATCGTTTGAGTAGTTTGAAGAGTTGTTTACTGTTTTTAAGCTATATAACTGTTTTTCTCAAAGCTTAAAGTTGAGGTCAGAGGCTCTGATGATTGGTCTGAAGCCAGGTTTGGGGGAATAAATTTTTTCTAAAGTAATAGTTGGATAGAATTTGGTAAATGGATTAATATCCATTTTTTAGCTATTTGCATTTTTCTGTTATGAATATTTAAAAAATAGTTTTGACTATATGATATGGATAAGTAGGAGGTATCACTTGGGATACAAACACATAAAAGGGTATCTTTTAAGAAATACAGTGCTGCAATAGATGTAGTGTTTTTGGTTCTTGTCAAAAGCTGTAGAACTGATGACCTAAGTATACACACATGTAAATGTACTATATGTAGGTGTGTAAATAAATATGCATATACACACATTGTAAATATGTCTTGGAGGCCAATCACAGTGTCTCATGCCTGTAGTCCCAGAACTTTGGGAGGCTGAGATAGAAGGACCACTTGAGGCAAGGAGTTTAAGACCAGCCTGGACAACATAACAAGACCCTGTCTCTATGGAAAATCAAAGAAAATTAGCCTGGTGTAGTGGCATGTGCCTGTAGTCCCAGCTACTTGGGAGGCTGAGGCAGGAGGATCCTTTGGGTCCAGGAGTTTGAGGCTTTAGGGAGCTATGACTGTGCCACTGCACTTCAGCCTGGGTGACAGAGCAAGACCCTGTCTCTGAAAACGAATAAATACCTACATACATCTCCGTATTTTTAATTTTTATTTTTTATTTTGAGATGGAGTCTCACCCTGTCACCCAGGCTGGAGTGCAGTGGCACGACTCGGCCCACTGCAACCTCCGCCTCCCAGGTTCAAGCAATTGATTCTCCTGCCTCAGCCTCCCAAGTAGCTGGGTTTACAGGTGCCTGCCACCATGCCTGGCTAGTTTTTGTATTTTTAGTAGAGACGGGGTTTCACCATGTTGGCCAGGCTGGTTTCGAACTCCTGACCTCAGATGATCTGCCCGCCTCGGCCTCCCAAAGTGCTGGAATTACAGGCGTGAGCTGCCGCGCCTGGCGACATCTCAGTTTTGTATATCTTTTTATTGAAGAACAAAATGTACTTTTGCTTCATTTAGTAAATGTACCTTCAAGGGTTTTAAAGTTAGCAACAAGTGACTTCTACAAGCATTGTTTCATTTAATCGTCACCATAAACCTGTAAAGTGGATATTATGATCTGCATTTCACAGATGAGGAATTTGGACTTATTTAAGACATTTTTAGGGGCCACATAACTGGTAATATGTGGAGAGGAAGTTACCCAGGTCTGTGTGTCTCTTTCCAATATGATTTGACCCGTCTGCTGTCCCTGTGTTCTCTTGTGAAGAAAGGGGCCGCTTCTCCTTGATATAGGCAATAGCCCACTCTAGGTAGGAGGTGTTCACTAATGGTGAAAGAATAAATCCGTAACTGTGGCTTCTCAGCTACTAGAAAGGCAGGATACAGTGTGGTGAAGTCCTGAGAATCAGCTCATCTGAGTTTGCATCAGACTCCTGCTTTAGAAGCTACTTGACCTTGGGCAAGTCATTTCAACTCTCAGCCCCCATTTTCAGGATAATGGGGATGATAATAGTATCTGCCTCCAATAGTCGTTGTAGGGATCAAACAGTCAGTGCATGCCTGGCACATAGTGTGGGCTCTCCAAATGTTTGCTGTGTACATTATTATTATGTGTAAGGGACATCTTGCTAGACAGCGGGAATAGGGGGAAGGTTCCTTCCCAGAAGTCACATCACGCAAGTGTCGTCTCCCTAAGGCTCCCTGTTGAAGCCTAAGGGAGCCCTTCTTGAAATAGGAGACAGAGGCAGCAGCGATGAGGTGGCCGGCCTTCTTCCAGGGGTGAGGCTGCTGCTGTCATAGACCCAACACTGCTGCAGAGTTGCCAAGGATACATCAGTTTCACCATTTTTCTTGCTGACTAAACTCCTGTGAAAACTCTTGCTTTCCTCGGTTATCTGACCGTCTGCTTCTCTTAATGTTAGAGTCACCAGAGCATTAGAACTAGAAAAGGAACTTAGACATCTTGGTCCAGTTCTCTAGACTTTCAGATGAGGAAAGGGGTGCAGAGAGGTAAAGTGATTGCCCGAGGTCATGGAGCTAAGCCGGGCAGACGCGGAGCCAGAAGGATGGTTTCTGACCTTCGAATTCAGAACTCTTTCCACATAACCATACTTGCAGAGCCTCTTTCAGGAGAATGCGGGAAAGTAACTCTTCCTCATCTTGCAGAGGTCCTTGGTATGTTGCACAGGACTGAAGAAGCTACCCCAGTAGGTTGGCCAGATTCCACAATGGGATATTGAATCTGGTTTCAGAAATTCCCCTGGTGATTTCAATTAGATGCGCTGTTCTTTCTGACTTCCCCTCCCTGGCAGCGATGCAGTGTTTTTTCCAGCTGCTTGGATTGCCGTCGTATGCTGCTCCAAGCTGCCTCCAGTGCTCTGCTGTTCACTAGAACAGAGCTCAGAGGCCCGTCGCCGAGCCTGCAGTACAGGTTAAACATTGGAGAGGCTTTGCTCTCATTTGAGGTGTATCTAATGATTGTGGCCCAGTGTGCCAGTTTCTTGTGAATACAATGAAGATACTACTTCTCGGAAGTGCAGTGGGAAGAAACCAGTTACAGATCGTGGAATGATCTAGAAAATACGGCAAATGCTACTCTGGTGTGAGGTCATAATCCAGAAAGACCTTTTCCATCCTCTCCTTCAGCTGCAGGCCTGAGAGCTGTGCTGTTCCTTCTCTGTCCTGTTTGATCCTTTGCTTTCTCTGTAGCTTTCCAAGATGTTCTAGAAACAAAGGGAGGCAGCTTTCCCACGTACCATGATGGACAACAGAGCGAGTCTGGGGGACACTGGGTCATCCCGAGGGATGGCATAGAGTGGGGAAGGCAGGGATGGGGCAGCCGATGAGCTGAAAACCATCTAGAGACGTTCACGGTTTGGGGGATAAGCCAGGCTGTCCAAGAAGCCATGGTGTCTTCCTCCGTGACTCATTTCTCTACAGGTGTACGCACATTTTTCTAGGTAGAAAAGTAAACTTGTGGAAAGAAGTTTTCACGCAGGTGTTCAGTGTTCTTTCTAATGAGTTCTTGCTGGGTTTAGAGCCAAGTGATAATGCAGCTATTTACTTTAAAATGGTTTGAATTGCATATCCACAAATCCACACCAGATTTGCTGCCTGTGAACGTGTGGTTTCTTTTTGTTGATGTCGTCGTTTGTTTAATCCTGGTAGGACCTCTTCCAGGGCAAAGCCACTTGGTACAGCAACGGGGTGGGCAGCCCTAAAGCACGGCAGAGTGCAAATTTCAGAGAGTGCCTCGAATTTCGAGCTTGAATCAGAATGGTCAAGATACCTGGGATTATGTTAAAACTTAGGAGGCAAATCTGTTTGTGGGCTCTGTTTTTGACTGGTTCCATGTTCTGTTGGATTCAGAACATGGCACATTGTAGGTGGGGGCCACTTTTACTGAGCTTTCCTTTAAATATGTCTATAGAGTGGTTAGAAGTTTGATTTGTTCTGGGACCCACTCTCAGTTAGGCCTGCCCGCCCTCCCACCTTGCCTGCCTGTCTGCTTTCCTGCCTTCCTGCCCTCCTTCCCTCCCTCCCTCCCTCTCTCCCTGTTTCCTTCCCTCCCTCCCTCCCTCCCTCCCTCTCCCCCTCTCTCCCTCTTTCCTTCCCTTCCCTTCCTGCCCCTCCCTTCCCTTCCTTCCCCTCCCTTCCCCTCCCCTACCCTTCTCCGTCCCCCCTTCCCGTCCCATCCCCCACCCCTCCCCCTCCCCTCCACCTCCTCTCCCCACCCCTCCCCCCTCCTCTCCCCCTCCCCTCCTCTCCCCCTCCTCTCCCCTCCTCTCCTTCTCCCCTCCCCTTCCCCTCCTGCTCCTCTTCCCCTCACCCTCCCCTCCCCTTCCTTTCCTTTCCTTCCTTCCTCTTTTCTCTCTCCTTTTCTTTCATTTTCTCTCTCTCTCTCCTCCTCCCTCTTTCCCTCCCTCCCTCCCCTCACCTTTCTTCCTGGTTGCAGAGCAGGGCTAACGCCTAGGCCATGTGCCCAGAGTCAGCCTTTTTCTTTTTCAGTATTCTTTCTTTTTTTTATTCATCTTTTTTTGTTTTGTTTTGAGTGCTTCTTTTCTTAAAACCTTATAGAAGATTGTAGGAACAGATCAGCAAGCTGCTTTTGAACGACAAGCAGTGTCTATGAGTATGCTGCTTATTGAAATAATTTCCTAGGGGTATATGTCCAGTAGTGTGGACTTTCTGAAACAGTCAACTAAGTAAGTGATACAGTGTTTCCTTATGCAGATGTGCGTGCTTTGCCTCCCGGAGGGAATTCGTTTTGGGAATAGTCACCACTGTTATTATTAAGTCCATTATTATTATTCAGTTAATACAACTTTTTCAAAAAGATAATATGCCTCTTTAAAAGGCGATTTAGAGTGGGAAAGTTTTTTTTTCTTTGTAAATATCACAGCGACAAGGAGTGTAATATAAACTTCCAAATGGAAACTGTTCTGAAGAAAATACTGACTCAAGAAATCTACCTGAAGATTTCCATGGTATTGTTGCTGAGTCGGATGAACAGATGGTCTACATGGCAATGAAACTTTTCAGGGTGTATGTTTCAGACTCCTGTATTCTCTATACTCAATCATTCAATTAGTGTGGACCTTTAATTTCCTTTTTTGGTAGCAAACAGCATTCACTTACTTGCATAAATTGTAGTTATTTTAAATAAAACAACAATCATATCAACATGTCATTTTAGAATTTTTCATAGTGTCTTTTTTCAAATGGCATCTTGTACATTGATTACAGAAAATCTTGTTATTTCGAACTCTGTTTACTCGGCATACAAGTCCAATTGAAATGTATCTTTTCTACTACTCTTAAAAATTGTGTGGTGCTGGGGTGCGGTGGCTCACGCCTGTAGTCCCAGCACTTCGGGAGGCCGAGGCAGGCAGATCACGAGGTCAGGAGATTGAGACCATCCTGGCTAAGACGGTGAAACCCCATCTCTACTAAAAATACAAAAAAAAAAAAAAATTAGCCGGGCTTGGTGGCGGGCGCCTGTAGTCCCAGCTACTCGGGAAGCTGAGGCAGGAGAATGGCGTGAACCCGGGAGGTGGAGCTTGCAGTGAGCCGAGATCGTGCCACTGCACTCTATCTAGCTTGGGTGACAGAACGAGACTCCGTCTCAAAAAAAAAAAAAAAAAAAAAATTGTGTGGTGAACGTATTACAAAACTTACCTAGGAAAAGGAATATTTTTAAGTGCTCGAAACCAGTGTGTCCAATGGCAGTAGTGACCTTGTCACTTAAGTGGATGTGGCAGTGACCCTCCCGTAGGTTCAAGACTCTACAAGTACTTGAGGTAACTACTTTTAAAAATATTTTAGGCCGGGCATGGTGGCTCACGCCTGTAATCCCAGCACTTTGGGAGGCCGAGGCAGGAGGATCATGAGGTCAGGAGTTTGAGACCAGCCTGACCAATATGGTGAAACCGCATCTCAACTAAAAATACAAAAAGTAGCTGGATGTGGTAGCATGTACCTGTAATCCCAGCTACTCCGGAGGCTGAGGCAGGAGAATTGCTTGAACCCAGGAGGTGGAGGTTGCAATGACCTGAGATCGCGCCACTGCACTCCAGCCTGGGCGACAGAGTGAGACTACGTCTCAAAAAAAGTATATATATATATTTTATAACTCAGACTTGTAAATAGTTTAGATTTGTCATCTTTGAATTACTCTGAATCCAAGAGCGCTTAAACCTGTGTAAGAAAGTCACCTCACACCTCCAAGATGATTGATATTTTTGTAGATGCCGTTAATTTTTTTTTCCTCCTCTTCATTTACCTTTTTCAGATCTATGAGGGGCTGGGCGCAGTGGCTCACACCTGTAATCCCAGCATTTTGGGAGGCCGAGATGGGTGGATCACCTGAGGTCAGGAGTTTGAGACCAGGCTGGCCAACATGGTGAAACCCCACCGTCCACTAAAAATACAAAAATTAGCTGGGCGTGGTGGTGTGCACCTGTAATCCCAGCTACTCAGGAGGCTGAGGCAGGAGAATCGCTTGAACCCAGGAGGCAGAGGTTGTAGTGAGCTTAGATCGCACCATTGTGCTCCAGCTTGGGCAACAAAAGTGAAACTCCATCTCAAAAAAAAAAAAAAAAAAAATCCATGAGGACAGCAGCACTTTGGGAGGCTGAGGAGGGCAGGTAACTTGAGGCCAGGAGTTCAACGCCAATCTGGCCAACAAAAAGAAAATAAAAAATAAATTAGCCAGGCGTGGTAGAGCATGCCTGTGCTTCCCAGCTACTCAGGAGGCTGAGAGAGGAGAATAACTTGAACCCAGAGGCGGAGGTTGTAGTGAGCCGAGATTGCGTCACTGCACTCTAGCCTGGGTGACAGAGTGAGACTTCATGTCAATTAAAAAAAAGATCCATGAGGACAGGAGTGGTCAGTGTTGTAGGTCTCACATCTGGCTGTTTTTCCATCATCTCCTCTCCCAAAATGCAGTTGTTCCCCACTGATGTGGCCTCAGTGTTGGGGTCTAGTCTTTTGGGCCCCTTGCTACTCTGAGTGTGGTCCTTAGACCAGCACAGCAGTATCTCCTGGGAGTGGATTAGAAATGCTCACAGGGCCAGGTGCAGTGGCTCATGCCTGTAATCTCTGCACTTTGGGAGGCTTAGGTGGGCAGATCACGAGGTTAGGAATTTGAGACCAGCCTGGCCAGCACAGTGAAACCCCCGTCTCTATGAGGAAAATACAAAAAATCAGCCGGGCATGGTGGCGCGTGCCTGTAATCCCAGCTACTTGGGAGGCTGAGGCAGGAGAATTGCTTGAACCTGGGAGGTGGAGGTTGCAGTGAGCTGAGATCGCAACACTGCACTGCACTGCAGTCTGGGTGACAGAGGGAGACTCCATCACAAAAAAAAAAAAAAAAAAGAAAAAAAAGAAATAAAGAAATGCTCCCAGGCCCCGCTGCAAACCCACTGAATCAGAATGTGCATGGAAGCTGGATCCCCCGGTGATGCATTTGTATATTTACCTGTGAAAGGCACTGGTGTAGGAATCCTTGCTTCAGAAACCCAGGGTAACCTCGCTGCCTATTCTGTTCCCCAGTAGCATCAGTGTTGCCTCCATTGTAACACTGTCCTCATATCAGGTAATGGTCCATTTACTTGTCTTTCTTTCGTAGCAAACTTAAAGCTCCGTGAAGGTAGGGATGCTACCTGAGCTCCAAATGGGTTTCTAGTGCCTGGCAAAGTCCTTGCTACATTGTAGGCATTTGGTATCTTTTTAGGGGCATCAAATTGTACTATTTTCACAAGAGGAAAGATTAAGGAAAACAACAGGTATTCCCTTCCCTCTAAAACAATAAAAATGCTTTATTTTATAGAAATGCCAAGTATTTTAGATAGTTAATGTAAGCACATGTATCCTAACAAAAAGCTTTTGAGAGTAGTAAATATGTATTCATTTCAAAGATAGAAAGCAGCACCCAAAAACTAAACCCCCCCCCAAAAAAAAAGTTCTGATAGAATACATGAAATCCCAAGCAGAATTGGTACCAAATTTTCAGTTTTGTTGTCACTTTTTCTCAGATGGGAAGTGGAAGACTCTTGATTTGCTTTGGCTCTACGTCCCCACCCAAATTTCATCTCTAATTGTAATCCCCATGTGTCAAGGGAGGGACCTGGTGGGAGGTGATTGGATCATGGAGGTGTTTCCCCCATGCTGTTCTCATGAGAGTGAGGGAGTCCTCACAAGATCTGATGGTTTAGAAGTGGTACTTCCTCCTTAGGTCTCTCTCCTGCCACCATGTAAGACGTGCCTTGCTTCCCTTTGTACTTCATCCTGAAATCATCACAGTCTAGGGGTTTGTATTTCATTTGCTAGGCCAAGGGGTAACCATTGAAAATTTTTGCATAGCAAAGGATTGAGGCGGAATGTTGGGAAGATGAGGGATGATTCCTGTGGTGGTGTGTGGGATGGGGATGGATTAGGCAGTTTCAGAATAGAGACCAGTTGGCCACCTGGCATCTGACTGTGAAAGTCCTGGCTGGAGGGGAGGGGCCCTAGGCAAGGCAATTTACTTTTTTTTTCTAAAGTTTTAATTTTTAGAGATAGCATCTTGCTCTGTCGCCCAGGCTGGAGTGCAGGGGCGAGATCACAGCTCATTGTAGCCTCAAGCTCCTGGGCTTAAGTGATCCTCCTGCCTCAGCCTCTGGAATAGCTGGGACTACAGGCATGCCACCATGCACGACTAATTTTAAAATTTTTTTGTAGAGATGGGAAGTCTCAGTATGTTGCCCAGGCTGGTCTTGAACTCTTGGGCTCAAGCCATCCTCCCACTTTTCTTCCCAAAATGCTGGATTGCAGGTGTGAACCACCATGCCCAACCCAAGCAGGTTGACCCAGCTGGATACCTTGAGAAGGAAGAATCAGCAGAGCTCTGCGAGTCATAGGAGGTCAACAGGAGGGAGGCGAGTGTTTAAAGTCTCATTTAATCTGGGAGAATGCTGGGACCATTGACAGAAATAGAGAAGCAAAGAAGAAAGGCAAGACATGGTGCTGTTCATTTGGACACTTCTTTCCTTCCAACAGGATATCTGACGACAGAATTAATTAACATGACCCCACAGGCCTGTGAGAATGAGGCCAAGCCTGCAAGCACTCAGGCCACAGGCCTGCAGCCCTGGGATAGAAAGCAGGGCCTGCTGCTCTGATGCTGGGTTTGCTTCTGTTAGTGATGCCTGTGGGTGTCAGATGTGGAGCGGGAAGGAGAGAGGGCATGATGGAGACGATGATGGAGACGATGCTTTTTATCGTCATGCAGAGCTGGTTGACTTACACTGGTGGGTTACCGCTAGCATTGCCGAGATGCACTGCAGTCATTGGCACGAAAGTCAGCTGTGAGGCAGGACATCATCATCGTCTAGATATTTCAGGTGGACCAAATGGAGCACACACTTATTGGCAGTGTGAGTGGGGGACTCACTTTCTGCAGTTCTGGCTTCTAGAACAATGGTTTTCACTCGATAGACTGTGACAATTTCAGGATGTTACTAGCTTTCCTCTTCTTTCCTTCTTTTTCTTCCTTGCCTTCTTTCTTACGTTTTTCTTTTTCTTTTTTTTTGTTTTTTGTTTTTGAGTCAGTTCTGTCACCCAGGCTGGAGTGCAGTGGCCTGATCTGGACTCACTGCAGCCTTGAAACTTCTGAGCTCAAGGGATCCTCCCACCTCAGCCTCGCAAGTAGCTGGGATTACAAGCACGTGCCACCATGCCTGGCTTATTAAAAAAACTTTTTTTTTTTTTTTTTTTTTTTTTGTGGAGATGGGGTCTCACTCTGCTACCCAGATTGGTCTCAAAGTCCTGGGCTCAAGTGATCCTCCTGCCTTGACGTCCCAAGGTGCTGGGATCGCAGGTGTGAGCCACTGCACTTGGCACCTTCTTTCTTTAAATTATTTATATTGTATTTTTACATCTGCAGCTGTACTTCCTCACTTATCCACTCATTCACCAACCCCTTTAGGACTTGTCTTTTGACCAACCATTGTACTGAAACTGTTTCTTTAAAGACTTGACAATGATTCTTGAGTTGCCAAACATCATAGCCTTTGCAGAATGCAGAGTCCCCATGACTGTTCTGAAACACTGGGCCCTGTTGACCACTTCTTGACCACCAACCCCTTCTTAAAACTCAGATTCTTTAATTATGACATTGCTTAAGTACATTTGCCTCCCTCCTTCCCTAGGGGATCTTTCTTTCTGTTTTGTCCTTTTTTTTTTTGAGTTGGAGCCTTGTTCTGTCGCCTGGGCTGGAGTGCAGTGGTGCAATGTCAGCTCACTGCAACCTCTGCTTCCTAGGTTCAAGCGATTCTCATGCCTCAGCCTCCTGAGTAGCTGGGATTACAGGTGCACACCACCACGCCTAGCTAATTTTTTTTTTTTTTTTTTTTTTTTTTTTTAGTAGAGACGGGGCTTCGCCATGTTGCCCAGGCTGGTCTTGAACTCCTGGCCTCAAGTGATCCACCCACCTTGGCCTCCTAAAGTGCTGGGATTATAGGTGTGAGCCACTGCATCTGGCCTGGGATTCTTTCTTACCTCCTTTGCTGACTTCTTCCTCCTCGTGTTAGTCTGTTCTCACACTGCTATAAAGAACTACCTGAGACTGGGTAACTTATAAGAAAAGATGTTTAATTGGTTCATGGTTCTGCAGGCTGTACTGCAAACATAGAGGCTTCTGCTTCTGGGGATGCCTCAGAAAGCTTCCAATCATGGCAGAAGGAGGAGCAAAGTGTCTCACATGCTCCTCAGGAGCAGGAGCCGGAGCGTGAGTGAAGGAGGAGATGCTGCACGCTTCTAACAACCAGATCTCACGAGAACTCACTATGAGGAGAACAACACCAGTGGCATGGTGCAGAACCATTCATGAGAAACCGCCCTCCATGATCCAATCACCTCCCACCAGGCCCCACCTCCAACACTGGGGACCACAATCCAACATGAGATTTGGTGAGGACACGGATCCAACCCCTATCACTCCTATTTTTTTCTTTTTTCTTTTTCTTTTTATTTTTTGAGATGGAGTCTCACTCTGTTGCCCAGGCTGTAGCGTAGTGGCACGATCTTGGCTCACTGCAACCTCTGCTGCCCAGGTTCAAGCGATTCTCCTGCCTCAGCCTCGCAAGTAGCTGAGATTACAGGGTCCTGCCACCGGGCCCGGCTAATTTTTATATTTTTAGTAGAGATGGGGTTTCACCATGTTGGCCAGGCTGATCTTGAACTCCTGACCTTGTGATCCACCCGCCTTGGCCTCCTAAGGTGCTGGGATTACAGGTGTGAGCCACCACACCCAGCCATCACTCCTGTTTCTTAGCTGGGGACATTTAAAACAATTTGATATCCTGTCTCCTTTGCTTTCCAAATGTCCATCTCTGGAATCCCCCTTGGTTTGTCTCTCACTTTAATTTGGAGGACGTCCAGGGCAAAATCTCCAGCCTTCATGTCTCTCTAAAGCAGTGGTCTCCAAAGTGGGTAGACAAGATGGTCCATTGGGATGCAGAAAGAAAATGGTAGCACTTCCACTTATAATTTGATCTTTTAGAATGAGGAGGAAGTTAAGAATCATGAGTATTGTTTTGGATTGACAGTTTGTCAGGCAGACAGTCACAAGCCTGTGACTCATTCCCAGGGACCCGTGGACCCCCCAAGAATTCGCGCTCCTCTGCCTTGAGCTTAAGAAGACAGTGGTGGTTTGCATGTGGCTGGTTAAATGGATTTGTGGGTTGTATCCCCTAGTGTTACCTAAACCAACCTTCACAAAATAGACCAAGAATTTAAGAAGATTCCTGGAAGGAAACCATGGCTTGAAGATAATATTAAAAATGCAAGCGCAAGCACACAAGAGGATAATGAAAGAGCTCAGATTTCTGCTCCTGGGAGTTCTTTGTCAGTCATGTTACAAGGATAAAACAATTTAGTAACAATACAAATACAAATGAAATATTCAGTTTCATTGATCTCACTTAAAATACTCTCTTATTCATAACATTTTTCTAGTGAAAGCAAAAATGTGAACTGCATTGTTCCTAAGTAAAATAGTTTATTTATGTTGTTTCTTTGATCGAATTATTTAAAGTTTTAAGGCTGTGTAAGTTTTAAATTTACATAAGATATGAGTGCAGTGGTATCTCTGTTATAATTTATAAATTAATGTATCTATTTTGGGGGTTTTGTACCTGAGTATTTTGTACTGAAGGGGGCACATAGTTAACACAGTTTGGAGACTATTATTCTAGAGCAGTGGTCCCCAACCCTCTTGGAACCAGGGATTGCCTACATGGATGACAGTTTTTCCACTGACCGGAGGAGGGGGAGGGTGATGATATCAGGATGATTCATGTGCATTACATTTATTGTGTACTTTATTTTTATTATTATTACATTATAATATATAATGAAATAATTCTACAACTCACCATGATGTAGCATCAGTGGGAGCCCTGAGCTTGTTTTCCTGTAACTAGATGGTCCTACTTGGGGGTGATGGGAGATGGTGACAGATCATCAGGCATTAGATTTTCATAAGGAACACACAACCTAGGTTCCTTGCATACACAGTTCACAATAGGGTTCATGCTCCTATGAGAATCTTTTGCCACCAATGATCTGACAAGAGGCAGAGCTCAGGCGGGAATGCTCACTTGCCTACCACTCACCTTCCTGGTGTGCGGCCCGGTTCCACGGCCTGGTACTGCCGTTCTGGAGACTCGGCTCTGTATTTCTAGAGCTTTGTAGACAAATCCATGCTGGTGTCTGGCTTGGTCCTGTGCATGTCAGTCAGTGAGCACACCTGCATGCCGTCTATCTCAGAATGGAGAGCTGGAGTGTCTGGCAGAAAAGGAACCACATCTCTGCGAGTGACACAGAGCCCCAAAACCCAGCCTGGGGAAAGGGGTGGAGAGAGGCCGTGGAACCAGTTCCAGAACACTTTCACGTGCATCTTGGTTTCTAGCACGGACTGGGATGCCTTTGTTAATATGTGCCAGGCTGGGGCACTTGCAGGAGGTGACGGCCACCTTGACTCTGTATGCTGAAGCCCTCTGGTCACTCACCCATGTATGCTGCAGTCCCCCCGGCCAATAACACAAGCCAGGACAAGCCCAGGGGAGGTCCCCGGACACACAGCGAAAATTCCTGGCTGGTTCTGTATGTCGCCGTGTTGGGTTCCCAGCCCAGTTCCAGCTCTAGGCTTGCAGGTCTCTCACTAGGAACTATGCCTCCAGCCCTTTGGTGGATTAACACCTGCCACCTCCAGTTCTGAATCTGACCTCTCCCTCTAGGCCTCCAGCCTGGATCTACCCAGTTCTGGATTCAGATCGTTACAGGCCCAAAGCACTGAAACATTGCAGAGCACATTGCTTTTCTTCTTTATTTAAAGAACTAAATTAAGCATTTTAAACCATATAATAAATGTAAAGAGATCCAACAAAGTTCTGTTTCTGCCATTATTACTATATCATGGCTATTTCGGAATGATCAAATAGGAGATTTTTTTTTGTTTTCAAAAAGTCTCTGTCTTTCTCTTTTGTTGTCTGTATTTTGCTGCTAAGCCACCAGTTCTCGATTGGTTCACTCCCTCTTCCTGCTACAGATTGTCTTAGGGGTTCTATTCATGAGACTTCTGGAGACCTAAACCCCACTCCGGCCAATGCCCCATAACGGGGTATGATGCTTGGCTGACATCGTTAACTCAGCCCCTCCAAGATTATGCCCATTTTCCTCCTTCCCCACCCACGTGGTGTCCTCCTTGTTACCTTTGCTAATGTCATTCCCAGGATCCCAGTTATCTACGTAAAAAATCAAAGATGGAATCTCCACCTATTCATCCAATCATCCATGCAGTCAACAAATTGGTATTCAATGCTAACAGTAATATTGGCTAACATTTATTAGGCAAGCACAGCTGCCAGCGTTTATATTTGCATTATCTTACATCCTCACAGCAACTCTGCACGGAAGGTATTGTGATAGTCTGCTTTTTATTTATTTATTTATTTTTAGACAGGGTCTTGCACTATTGCCCAGGCTGGAGTGTAATGGCACCATCATGGCTCACTGCAGCCTCGACCTCCCGGGCCCAAGCGATCCTCTCACCTCAGCCTTCCAAGTAGCTGGGACTACAGGCATGCACCACCTTGCCTGGCTAATTTTTTAAAAAATGTTTTGTAGGGCTGGGCACAGTGGCTCACGCCTGTAATCCCAGGACTTTGGAAGGCTTAGGCAGCCAGCACTTGGGGAGGCTTAGGCGGATGGATCACCTGAGGTCAGGAGTTCGAGACCAGCCTGACCAACATGGAGAAACCCCGTCTCTACTAAAAATACAAAATTAGTTGGGCGTGGTGGTGCATCCCTGTAATCCTAGCTACTCGAGAGGCTGAGGCAGGAGAATCGCTTGAACCCGGGAGGCGGAGGTTGCTATGAGCCGAGATCGTGCCATTGCACTCCAGCCTGGGCAACAAGAGCTAAACTCCATCTCAAAAAAAAAAAAAAAGTTTTGTAGAGATGAGATGTAGTCTCTCTAGTTTGCCCAGTCTGGTCTTGAACTTCTGGGCTCCAGCAATACTTCTGTCTCAGTTTCCCAAAGTGCTGGGATTACAAGCATGAGCCACTGCACCGAGACCGATGACCCACTTTTAACAGCTGAGAAACCTGACCATTGCAGAGGTGAGTTGACCTCCACAGGGCCACCCAGGGAGTAAGTAGCCAAGTGGAAGTTACTTTACCTCTGTGATGATTTGCACCAGTTCAGTTTGACTTTAGAGACAACAAGCTGAAGCTCTACACTCGATTGACTGTTTTCAGGTGCTATGTGAACACGGTGGGTAGAGACGCATAGCACATGAGCCCTGTGCTGGGGAATGTGCAGTCTAGTGGGTGCCCAGAGGCACGAGCAGAAGACAGCAGCCCTTTAAGAAGTGCCATATGCTTCAAGGGCATAGGGAAGTGTGTCTGCTCCAGGGAAGGGGCTTTCACCGAGAAATTGAACAGAGCTTCAAAGAGCAAGAAACAATTGGCTGGGTGGGTGTGGGAGCGCGAGGAGTCCTCGGAAGGCGCCTGAGTGAGGCTGTGGGTGTGGAACAGCATGGTATGGGCAGGGAACAGCATCGTGGCTGATGCAGGATGAGGGGAGCATTCCTCTTCTTGTTCCACTTCCTGGGTCTGCAGTTACAGAGTCCTGCATAGCATTCCTCATATCTTTCCCTTCCTTTCCTTTCCTTCTTCTGAATCCTGTGTTGGGCCCCGTGGCCTTATCTCTGGACAGTTGCAGCAGCCTTTTCTCTCCACTTCTTCTCATCCATCATGTATTACTTAAGCCAATTTAATCATGTAGCTTTCTTTGATCATCTTGTTCTCTCCATTAAAGAGTGGCTCTCCATTGCCTTTGGAATGTGGTCAGACCATTGAGTCTGGTGCTCCAGGCCTTCTGTATTTGGGGGTCAGTCTGTGTTTCCTGCTGGATCTTTCATGATGTGTCTGTCTCTTCCCACTGGAGCAAACAAAAATAACTTTCTCTTCTCTCCATCTACTACTCTTTTTCCCTGTACCCTTTTCTTTCCCTACCTGTCAAAAATCTTGACCATCTCTCAAGCTCGCTCCAGTGTTACGCAAACATGAAGCCTTCCGGACCAGACCAGTCACAATTGTCTCTCTGTGCTCTTAGATGCCTTCACTGTGATGGGGACCGTGGGCTGCACCACCCTTGTCATGGTTCACACTTCTTAAGCGAGAGGTCGGATCTCTTCTCTGGATCTGTCTCCATGAGTTCCCACCAAGATAGGTTGGAGATTCACGGAGTGGCTTTGAGTTTCAAAAGCCAGTTTTGAACCTGCTTGTTGCCCTGGCTCAGGTGGAATTCTTTAGAAAAGTGTCCACTCTCAGCCAGGGTGGAATCCTTTAGGAGAGTGTCTGCTCTAAGCTTTTTCCCTTGGCCTCCACTGGGGCGTTTTTCCTTCAGCAGAAAACCCATGATGCCATCTCCTCTGGGGAGGAAAATACTGCTCTGTGGAACCTCGCAGGGCCTTTCGGCACAGCCAGAATTCCCTGGTGAGAGGTTTCCTAAAGGGTTAGTCATTCAGACCTGGCTGTGTGAGCCAGATCTGTCCTGTCTTGAGATAATTCTTAAGGCTACGATTTGCTCGTCAACATCATCTGTAACTAGTTTCACTAACAGATGTTTAGGAATTGGGCATCTAGGCTGTACCAATGTATCTGGACTAAAATATGCCCCTCCCTCCCTTCCTTCCTTTTTTTTTTTTTTTTTTTTAATATAGCTTTAATGGGAGACTGGAGCCTGCTGTTTCTCACCCCTTGTCTCCCGGGTGACAGTATTTGGTGTACAAAGCTAGTGACTCTGCAATTGTTGAATTAGCTACAGATTAACTCCTCTGAGAACTTGGTTTCCGATGAGAGTGAAACATGTACTTTGTATGCAGAACTCTTACTCTTCAAACAGGACTTATTAACTAGAAGAAACTTCACTTTGTACTTGAAAAATGGAATGTAAATCATAAAAGATTGTACCATTTAAGCCCCACTAGAAAGAGAAAAACAGAAGTCATGGAGAACCACATCCTGTTCATATGGACCCCAGCCTAAGAAGAATGCAGGAGTGTGTGGAGAGGGTCCTATGGGGAACCCCAGGAATGGCCAATGGTGGGAAATTAGGTTCTGGGAAATGTGTGTATTGTTTTGAAAAGTATTATTTTACCTGGAGAAATTGAACAACTGACATCAGCTAACATATATTTATTATTGTGTTGAATGGCCAGCATTCTGTGGGGGCATTGTGCTTTTTTCCTTTATTTTATTTTCATAGGTTTGGGGGAACAGGTGGTGTTTGGCTACATGAATAAGTTCTTTAGTGGTGATTTCTGAGATTTTGGTGCACCCATCATCTGAGCAGTGTACACTGTACCCAGTGTGCAGTGTTTTATCCCTTACCCATCCCCACCCTTTCCCCCAAGTCTCCAGAGTCCATTGTGTCATTCTTATGCCTTTGCATCCTCATAGCTTAGCTCCCACTTATGAGTGAGAACATACGATGTTTGGTTTTCCATTCCTGAGTTACTTCACTTAGTATTATGGTCTCCAGTTCCATCCAGGTTGCTGCAAATGCCATTATTTCATTCCTTTTTATGGCTGAGTAGTATTCCATGGTATATATATACCACGATTTCCTTATCCACTCGTTGATTGATGGGCATTTGAGCTGGTTCCATATTTTTGCAATTGTGAATTGTGCTGCTATAAACATGCATGTGCAAGTATGTTTTTTGTACAATGACTTCTTTTTTTCTGGGTAGATATCCAGTAGTGGGATTGCTGGATCAAACAGTAGATCTACTTTTAGTTGTTCAGGGAATCTCCACACTGTTTTCCATAGCGGTTTTACTTGTTTACATTTCCACCAGCAGTGTAGAAGTGTTCCCTTTTCACCGCATCCCCACCAACATCTACTGTTTTTTGATTTTTTGATTATGGCCATTCTTGCAGGAGTGAAGTGGTATCACACTGTGGTTTTGATTTACATTTCCCTGATCATTAATGATATTGAACATTTTTTTCCTATGTTTGTTGGCCATTTGTATACCTTCTTTTGAGAATTGTCTATTCATGTCCTTAGCCCACTTTTTGATGGGATTGTATTTCTTTGTTGCTGATTTGTTTGAGTTCCTTGCAGATTCTGGATTTTAGTCCTTTGTAAGATGTATAGATGGTGAAGCTTTTCTCCCACTCTGAGGGTTGTCTGTTTACTCTGCTGATTATTTCTTTTACTGAGCAGAAGCTTTTTAGTTTAATCAAGTCCCATCTATTTATCTTTGTTTTTGTTGCATTTGCTTTTGGGTTCTTGCTCATGAAGTCTTTGCTTAAGCCAATGTCTAGAGGGGTTTTTTTGATGTTATTTTCTAGAATTTTTATGGTTTCAGGTCTTAGATGTGAGTCCTTGATCCATCTTGAGTTGATTTTTGTATAAAGCGAGGGATGAGGATCTAGTTTCATTCTTCTACATGTGGCTAACCAATTATCCTAGCACATTTGTTGAATAGGCTGTCATTTCCCCACTTTATGTTTTTGTTAGCTTTGTCGAAGATCAGTGGCTGTAAGTATTTGGCTTTATTTCTGGGTTTTCTATTCTGTTTCATTGGTCTATGTGCCTATTTTTATACCAGTACCATGCTGTTTGGGTGACTATGGCCTTATAGTATAGTTTGAAGTCAGATAAAATGATGCCTCCAGATTTATTCCTTTTTCTTAGTCTTGCTTTGGCTATGTGGACTCTTTTTTGGTGCCATATGAATTTTTAGGATTGTTTTTCTAGTTCTGTGAATAATGATGGTGGTATTTTGATGGGAATTGCATGCTTTTGGCAGTATGATCATTTTCATAATATTGATTCTACCTATCCATGAGCATGGGGGTGTTTCCATTTGTTTGTGTCATCTACGATTTCTTTTAGCAGTGTCTTGTAGTTTTTCTTGTAGAGGTCTTTTACCTCCTTGGTTAGGTATATTACCAAATATTTTATTTTTTTGCAGCTATTATAAAAGGGGTTGAGTTCTTGATTTGATTCTCAGCTTGGTCACTGTTGGTGTATAGCAGAGCTACTGATTTGTGTACATTAATTTTGTATCCTGAAACTTTGCTGAATTCATTTATCAGAAGTGTGCTTTTTAATTTTAAGTCCTTGAAGAATTAGAACAATAATCCATCTCTTTTACTTTTTAGTGAAGACAGTGAGTCCCAGGAAAATTAAACACCCACTGTTTACCACAAAGTCATTGGCTGAGCTAGGATCAGCACATGGTAGTCCAGGACGCAGAAGTCCTAGATGAAATTTAAATTGGATAAAAACAATTTTTTTGCTGGGCACAGTGGCTCACGCCTGTAATCCCAGCACTTTGAGAGGCCAAGGCTGGAGGATCACTTGAGCCCAGGAGTTGAGGACCAGCCTAGGCAACATGCAAGACTCCCATCTGTGAAAGAACGAGATTCTGTCTCAAAAACAAAAACAAAAGAAACAAGCCCAACAATTTTTTATCAGGGGAAGATTATCTAGTATTGGAATGAGGAACTATAGTGTCTTGTTTGGAGAACTTGGAAAATACATCTGTACAGGGACAGTTGTAGCTCTATCTAGAGAAGGCAATGGATGGGCTGATTTCCCAAGCTCTTCTGCTGGGATGGTTCCAATGATATGAGTTTGGTTTTTCCTTAGTGTGTGACGTAAAAGAAATTGTCCTGGCAAACATATGGTTTGATACTCGTCATTGTTAAAATAGCATATCCCATTTTTAGTCAGCTATGTTTTAGGATAAACAGCAAAGATGATGCTTTTTTCTTAATAGGAAAATCCCTTAAATTTGATCAGACGTTGTCTGTCAAATGAGTGAATAGGGTTGAGTGTCCCTGTGTGTTTCTGCCACACTCTGTGCTTTGACCTTGCTCATTCAGGTAGCATTTCCCCTTTGACGTTTCTTTGGTTTTGTGTGTGTTTTGTTGTTGTTGTTTTATTTTTTTTTTTTTTTGAGATGGAGTCTCTCTCTGTCACCAGGCTGGAGTGCAGTGGCGCGATCTCAGCTCACTGCAACCTCCGCTTCCCAGGTTCAAGTGATTCTCCTGCCTCAGCCTCCCGAGTAGCTGGGATTACAGGTGTGCACCACCATGTCTGGCTAATTTTGTATTTTTAGTAGAGATGGGGTTTCACCACGTTGGCCAGGATGGTCTCGATCTCCTGACCTCGTGATCCGCCTGCCTCTGCCTCCCATAATGCTGGGATTTCAGTGTGAACCACCACACCTGGCTGTGTTTTAATCTTTTTGAGGCCTGTGTGAGTGTAATTGTACTAGCCAGATTTAGGATAATCAGGACATGACAATAGCCAAGTTGCCTGTCAGCACTCTGGGATGGTTTTTATGTGTCTTCAGTGTAAACAGTTTCTTCACCCTGGGAGCACCTATATTCCTTTTTATCTTTGCATGCTTAGAGAGCAGGAAGTTGAACTTGATTATCCCAGGTTCTGGTTAATGTCTTGTGAGTGCAGATTCTTAAAGTGATGCCTGAACCCTAAGACTTGTGTGAGTACTTAACTGACAAGCTAACAAGGGTATATTGATTTTATTTGGAAAAGTAGCAATACATTTTAAGGGATAATTAAGGATAAGTAAAATGTGATTCTCCAGGAAGAGAAAATTGGATTTCCCCACTAAAGCCATTGAGGTCATCGTCTAAGACGTAGGCCATAAATGTGTGATGACTCGGAGGAGGAGAGATAATGACCATGCTGGTGATGATGGTGATAATGGTCATAGCATATTCTACTTGTTGACTACACATATTTCTGTTGCTGTGCATATTTTTTCTCAGACTTTATAACAACACAAAGAGGTGGGTATCAAGGATCCAATTTACTGAAGAGGGATCTGAGACTCAGAAAGGCCCAGTAGGCTGGGCGTGGTGGCTCTCGCCTGTAATCCCAGCACTTTGGGAGGCCAAGGCAGGCAGATGGCTTGAGTCCTGGAGTTTGAGACCAGCCTGGGCAACATGGCAAAACCACAGCTCTACAAAAAATACAGAAATTAGCCGGGCGTGGTGGCGTGCATTTGTGGTCCCAACTATTAGGAAGGCTGAGGTGGGAGGGTAGCTTGAGCCCGGGAGGTCAAAGCTGCAGTGAGCAATGATCATGCTACTGCACTCCAGCCTGGGTGACAGAGCAAGACCTTGTCCAAAGAAAAAAGAAAAAGAAAGGCCCAGTAGCTTGCCAAAACTGAAATTAAAATCGAGGTTCCTTGAATTGAAGCCTTTTTTTGGAATATCACATTGCTTCCTAATACAAACATGCTTTACAATTCCTGCATTTAAAAAAGCTAACCAACAAAAATAAGCAAGTCACATATAGATTTAAAAGACTACCAGGAACATTTGGACTGCTGGGCAGCTAGGTTATGTCCTGATCATGTCAGTCATTAGGCTGGGAGCTAATGTTCAGATCAAACATGTTGCCTCCCCTACAAAGAGGTCTGTTGAGGATAAGCCCTCGCTGAGAAATTCTTCACAGCTCAGCCAGGCTTTCTTGGAATAATTGGAGATTGAAGCTGGTAGTTCCTGAAATTTAAGGTCATCAGAACCACCCAGAGGGCTTGTGAAAATGCAGATTGCTGGGCCCCGTCCCCAGATGCTGGGGCCTGAGACTCTGCATTTCTGGCACTCAGTGATGCCGGGCCTACTGGCCTGGAGGCCACACATTGAAAAATATGGATTTAAGCTGCCTCCGCCTGGGGTCTCCATTCTGACCCTGTAGTTGTTTCTCAAATGCAATGACCAAGTACAGTTCCTAGGAGGGCTCAGTCTGGACCACTGTATTTGTCCGTTTTCACGCTGCTGATAAAGATATACTCGAGACTGGATAATTTATAAAGAAAAAGAGGTTTAATAGACTCACAGTTCTACATGGCTAGAGAGACCTCACAATCATGGGAGAAGGTGAATGGCACATCTTACATGGTGGCAAACAAGAGAGAATGAGAGCCAAGTGAAAGGGGTTTCCTTTTATAAAACCATTAGATCTCATGAGTCTGATTCACTACCACGAGAACAGTATGGGGGAAACCACCCCATGATTCAATTATCTCCCACTGGGTCCCTCCCACAACACGTGGGAATTAT